>NT_187537.1:0-224108 GCF_000001405.40 Homo sapiens
CAGGAGTTCGAGACCTGCCTGGCCAACATGGTGAAACCCTGTCTCTACTAAAAATACAAAAATTAGCTGGGTGTGGTGGCATGTACCTGTAATCCCAGCTACTCAGGAGGCTGAGAGAGGAGAATTGCTTGAGCCTGGGAAACAGAGCTTGCAGTGAGCTGAGATCATGCCACTGTACTCCAGCCTGGATGACAGAGCGAGACTCTGTCTCAAATAAATAAATAAATAAAATAAAAAATAAAAAAACATTAAATAACAAAGGATTTCACAGATTGCTTGTTTTTATTTTTGAGGGCTGGATATTTGTATGTTCCTATAAGGGTTCAATGGGCTCACAAATATTCTTTCTTAGATCTACAAGAGGTGTGTTTGGAACATTTTGAATCAAAACAAAGATTCCTTTCAGTGATATAAAACAGCACATCACAAAGCTCTTTTATAGATAGCTTCTTCTTCTTCTTTTTTTTTTTTTGAGATGGAGTTTCACTCTTTGCCAAAAAAGTGCTAGGATTACAGGCGTGAGCCACCACACCTGGCCCATATTTTCTTATATAGGCCTAAAAACCTGTGAAAGGTCATTGCTTAGATTCTACAAAACATGTGTTTTGACCCTTTGTAATGAAAACACAAGTTCCATTCCATGATACAAAACACATATCACAAAGGTTTTACACAGGTCACTTGATTTTAGTTTTGAAGGCTGGATAAAGGGCTCATTGGGCTCAGAAATGTCCCTTATTCGATTCTACAAAAAGTGTGTTTGGAAACTGTTGAATCAAAACACACATTCTGTTTGCTGATATAAAAGAGGACATCACAGAGCTTTTTCATAAATAGCTTCCTTTTATATTTTAGGGCTGGATATTCATATATTCCTGTAAGGACTCAATGGTCCCAGGAATATCAATTCTTAGATTCTCCACAATGTGTGTTTAGAACATGTTGAATCAAAACCCAGGTTCCAATCAGTGATAGAAAACAGCACATCACAAAGCATATTCACACAGACCTTGCTTGTAGTTCTTTGGGTTGAATTTCATATTTTCTTACATAGGCCTCAAAACCTCTGAAATGTCATTGCTTGGATTTTGTGAAATATGAGTTTGGATCCTTTGTAATGAAAACACAAGTTCCATTCCATAATATAAAACAGCACATCACAAAAGTTTTTCACAAATTGCCTGTTTTTTTTTGTTTGTTTCTTGTTTTTTGTTTTTAATTTTTGGAGGGCAGGATCTTCATATGTTCCTACTAGGGCTCAATAGGCTCAAAAAATGTCACTTCTTAGATTCTATAAAATAAGTGTTTAGAATCTGTTGAATCAAAACACAGGTTCCATTCAGTGACATAAAATAGCATGTCACAAAGTTTTTTTTTACAGATTGTTGTTTTTTGTTTTGAGGGCTGGACATTCTTATGTTCCTATAAGGGCTCAAAAAGCTCAGCAGTGTTTCTTCTTAGAGTCTACAAAAAGTGTGTTTGAAACCTGTTGAATAAAAACACAAGTTTCATCCAGCGATATAAAACAGCACATCACAAGCTCTTTCACAGATAACTTATTTTGGCTTTTTAGGGCTTGATGTTTGTACATTCCAGTAAGGGCTCAATGGGCTCAGAAATGTCTCTTCTTAGATTTTAGAAAAAGTGTGTTTGGAACTTGTTGAAACAAAACACAGGTTCCACTAATGATAGTAAACAGCACATCATAGAGCATATACTCAAAGAGTAGTTTGCAGTTTTGATTTTTGGGTATTCACATTTTCTAATATAGGCCAAAAATCCTCTGGAATGTCATTTATAGGATTCTAAAAAACAGAGTCTGGATCCTTTGTAATGGAATCACAAGTTCCATTCATTGATATAAAACAGAACATCACAAGGGGTTTTCACAGATAGCTTTTTTTTAGTTTTTAGGGCTGGACATTCTTATGTTCCTATAAGGGCTCAATGGGCTCAGAATTGTCCCTTCTTAGATTCTACAAATCTGTGTTTGGAACCTGTTGAATCAAAACATAGGTTCTATTCAGTAATATAAGACATCATATCACAAAACTCTTAAACAGATAACTTCTACTTTTTAGGGATGGATATTCATATATTCCCATAAGGGCTCAAAGGGCTCAGAAATGGCATTTCTTAGATTCTACAAGATGTGGGTTTAGAACCTGTTGAATCTAAACACAGGTTCCACTCAGAGATAAGAAACAGTGCATCACAAAGGATATTCACACAGAACTTGCTTGTAGTTCTTACAGCTTGATATTCGTATTTTCCTATATTGGCCTAATAACCTCTGAAATGTCATTACTTGCATTGTACAAAACAGAAGTTTGGATCTTTTGTAATGAAAACACATGTTCCATTCAGTGATGTAAAGCAGCACATCACAAAGGTTTTTCACAGATTGCTTGTTTTTAGTTTTGAGGGCTAAATATGTGTATGTTCCAATGAGGGCTCAATGGGCTCAGAAATGTCACTTCTTAGATTCCACAGAATGTGTGTTAAAAACCCGTTGAATCAAAACAGAGTTTCCAATCAGTGATAGGAAACAGCACATTGCAAAGCATGTTTGCACAGAGCTTGTTCGTAATTTTTAAGGCTGGATATTCGTATTTTCTATACAGGCCTAAAAACCTCTGAAATGTCATTTTCTGGATTCTAGAAAACATGTGTTTGGATCCTTTGTAACGAAAACACAGGCTGCATCCAGTGATATACAACAGCACATCACAAAGTTCTTTCACAGAGAAATTCTTTTTGCTTTTTAGGGCTGGATATTTGTAAGCTTCTACAAGGGCTCAATGGGCTCAGAAATGTCCCTTCTTAGATTCTACAAAAAGTGTTTCTGGAACCTGTTGAATGAAACACATGTTCCATTCAGTGATATAAAACATAACATCAGGAAGCTCTTTCACAGATAACTTCTTTTTAATATTTAGTGCTGGATATTTGTATGTTCTATAAGGGCTCAGAAATTTCATATATTCTACAGAACGTGTGTTTAGAACCTGTTGAATCAAAACATAGGCTCCACTCAGTGATAGAAAACAGCACATCACAAACCATATTTGCACAGAGCTTGTTTGGAGTACTTACGAGTGGATAAGCATATATTCACATATAGGTCTAAAACGCTCTGAAATGTCATTTCTTGGATTCTACAAAACAAGCCTTTGGATCTTTGGAACAAAAACACAAGATCCATTTGGTGATATAAAAAAGCACATCACAAGGGTTTTCACAGATGGCTTGTTTTTAGTTTTTAGGGCTGGACATTTGTATATTCCTTTAAGAGCTCAATGGGCTCAGGAATGTCTCTTCACAGATAACACAAAAACTGTGTTTCAAACATGTTGATCAAAACACCTTTTCAATTCAGTGATATAAAACAGCACATCACAAGGTTCTTTCACAGATAGCTTCCTTTTACTTTTTAGAGCTTGATATTCTATGTTCCTGTAAGTGCTCAATGGGCTCAGAAATGTCACTTCTTAGATTTCAGAAAAAGCGTTTTTGGAACCTGTTCAATCAAAACACATGTTCCATTCAGTGATATAAAACAGCATCACAAAGCTTTTTCACAGATAGCTTCTTTTTACTTTTTAGGGCTGGATATTTGTATGCCCCTATAATGGTGTAATGAGCTCAGAAATGTCATTTCTTAGATTCTATAGAACGTGTGTTTAGAACCTGTTGAAACAAAACACTGCTTCCACTCAGTGATTGGAAAGAGCACATCACAAAGCATACACTCACAGAGATTGTTTATAGTTCTTAGGCCTGGATATTAGTATTTTCTTTTTCTTTTTTTTTTTTTGAGGTGGAGTCTTGCTCTGTCACCCAGGCTGGAGTGCAATGGCACTATCTCGGCTCACTGCAAGCTCCGCCTCCTGGCTTCATGCCATTCTCCTGATCAGCCTCCTGAGTAGCTGGGACTACAGGCACCTGCCACCACGCCCAGCTAATTTTTTGTATTTTTAGTAAAGATGGGGTTTCACCGTATTAGGCAGGATGGTCTAGATCTCCTGACCTTGTGATCCGCCCTCCTCAGCCTCCCAAAGTGCTGGGATTACAGGCGTGAGCCACTGTGCCAGGCCCTAGCTTGGATATTAGTATTTTCTTAAATAGGCCTAGAATTCTCTGAAACGTCATTTTTCAGTTTCTACAAAACATGACTTTGGATTCTTTGTAATGAAAACACAAGTTCCATTCAGTGATATGAAACACCACATCACAAAGTTTTCTTAAAGATTTCCTGTTTTTAATTTTGATGGCTAGATATTTGTATGTTCCTATATTGGCTCGATGGGCTCAGAAATGTCCTTTCTTAGATTCTATGAAAAGTGTGTTTGGAACCTTTTGAATCAAAATACAGGGCTATTTAGTGATATAAAACAGCATATTTCACAGCTGTTTCACAGAAACAGGGAAACAGGGAAATAGGGAAAGGATTCCCTGTTCAATAAATTGGGAAAGGACCTCCTATTCAATAAATTGTGCCAGGGTAGTGGCTTGCGGTACACAGAGGATTGAAATTGCACCCCTTCCTTACACCATGCACAAAAATCAACTCAAGATGGATTAAATACCTAAATGCAAAACCTAACACTAAAAAAACACTGGTAGATAACCCAGGAAATACCATTTTGGACATAGAAACTGGCAAAGATCTCATCATGAAAATGCCAAAAGCAATTGCAACAAAGGCAAAAATTGACAAATGGGACCTAATTAAAGAGATTCTGCACAGCAAAAGAAACTATAATTTTTCAATGGTCTAATACCCAGAATTTACAAGGAACTTAAACAAATGGACAAGAAGAAAACAAACAAACAAAATACAAATGTTCCTAAATACAAAAATAAAGACAAACAAAACAATCTATAGACTCAGTGAAGATTTTGAAATGTTTTGTTTATTATATGGTGAGGTTTTTCAGATCTTTTAGCCAAATCATGTGCCCTCATGTCTCCTACTCTTTTTGTTTCTGGCATAAAACTTTTTGATTTGAGCCAGAACAGTGAAGATGACAACACACATCAATCTGATGATAATTGGAGGTGAGGGAAGTTCACAGTCCATCATGAAAAACTCTTTTAGATAAGAAGGGAAGACCATATACATAGTTATGTAAAAAAAATCCTTCATGAGGATTCATATACGCAAAAGGGTAAGGGGAAAGCTTTACTTTGTACAAATGTAGATAGATTAAGTAACAATACACTAATACTTTGTAAAAGTGTGCTATTTACAAACAATGTTAGTGAACACAGTCTGCTAAGGTTTCATTATCATATATTGTTATGCACAGCTAAATCCTTCAACTATGTGAATGTTAGGACTTTTCACAAAAGCCTGCCTAATTCAAAGGAGCCTTTTCAAGTCCATTTACAACAAATTTAAAATCATATTTTCCCTGAACAAGTGCTTACCTGATATGACTCTGTTTTCCTTGTTTTTTTTTTAAATGAAGAAATATTCTGTTTTGCAAATTGGACCCCAGGCTGAAAATTGGCACCTTAAATGTCTGCATTTGGGCTTTGGGGAAAGTGCCACTCAGATAGGTATCTCAGGACATGAGCGACCAGTGTGAGGGAGGGTGAGATTTGTCAGATGCCAAAATCAGGGGATGAGTGGTGGTGTCTGTCAGACACAAACATGTTGCCAGAATCTTATCACCATCAGTCACATGATTTCACACATTTATGTGGGAACCATGCCTTTTTTTTTTTGAGAGGAAGTCTCGTTCTGTCACCCAGGCTGGAGTGCAGTGGTGCAATCTCCGCTCACTGCAGCCTCTGCCTCCCGGGTTCAAGCAATTCTCCTGCCTCAGCCTCCTGAGTAGCTGAGACTACAGGCGTGCACCACTACATCTGGTTAATTTTTGTATTTTTAGTAGAGATGGGGTTTCACCATGTTGGCCAGGATGGTCTTGATCTCCTGACCTCATGATCTGTCTGCCTTGGCCTCCCAAAGTGCTGGTGAGAGGTGACAGCATGCTGGCAGCCCTTGCTGGCTCTTGGCACCTCCTCGGCCTCGCTGGCGCCCACTCTGGCCGCACTCGAGGAGCCCCTTGGCCCGCCACTGCACTGTGGGCGCCCCTCTCTGGGCTGGCCGAGGCCAGAGCCAGCTCCCTCTGCTTGTGGGTAGGTGCGGAGGGAGAGGCGCAGGCCGGAACCAGGGCTGCGCATGGCGCTCCCGGGCCAGCGCGAGTTCTGAGTGGGCGTGGGCTGGGCCAGCCCGCACTTGGAGCGGCTGGCTGGCACCGCCGGCCCCAGGCAGTGACGGGCTTAGCACCCGGGCCAGCAGCTGCAGAGGGTGCATGGGGTCCCCCAGCAGTGCTGGCCTGCTGGCTCTGCGCTGGAATTCTTGCCGGGCTCAGCTGCCTCCCCGCGGGGCAGGGCTCAGGACCTGCAGCCCGCCATGCCTGAGCCTCCCCACCACCGTGGGCTCCTGCATGGCCCCGGCTTCCCCACTGCCGTGGGCTCCTGCATGGCCCAAGCCTCCCCACTGCCATGGGCTCCTGCATGGCCCGAGCCTCCCCAATGGGCGCCACCCCCTGCTCTGCGGCGCTGGGTCCCATCGACTGCCAGGCTGAGGAGTGCCGGCACACAGTGTGGGACTGGTGGGTAGCTCTGCCTACCGCCGCTGTGGGGGATCCACTAGGTGAAGCCAGCTGGCCTCCTGAGTCTAGTGGGGACTTGGAAAACCTTTAAGTCTAGCTAACGGATTGTAGAGACACCAATCAGCACTCTCTTGTCTAGCTCAAGGTTTGTGAATGCACCAATCAGCACTCTGTATCTAGCTAATCTGGTGGTGACTTAGAAAACCTTTATGTCTAGCTAAAGGATTGTAAATACACCAATCAGCACTCTGTGTCTAGCTCAAGGTTTGTAAATACACCAATCAGTGCTCTGTGTCTAGCTAATCTAGCAGGGACTTGGAGAACTTTGTGTCTAGCTCAGGGATTGTAAACACACCAATCAGCACCCTGTCAAAATGGACCAATCAGCTCTCTGTAAAACAGACCAATCAGCTCTCTGAAAAATGGGCCAATCAGCAGGATGTGGGTGGGGTCAGATAAGGCAATAAAAGCAGGCTGCCCGAGCCAGCAGCAGCAACCAAGTGGGGGTCCCTTTCTGCGGTGTGGTAAGTTTGTTTTTTCGCTCTTTGCAAGGACTCTTGCTGCTGCTTACTGTTTGGGTCCGCACTGCCTTTATGAGCTGTAACAGTAATCACAAAGGTCTGCAGCTTCACTCCTGAGCCAGTGAGACCAGCAACCCATCACAAGGAAGAAACTCCAAACATGTCCAAATATCAGAAGGAACAAACTCCTGACACACTGCTTTTAAGAACTGTAACACTCACCGCCAGGGTCTGAGGCTTCATTCTTGAAGTCAGTGAGACCAAGAACCCACCAATTCTGGACACACTGGGTTTACAGATGTGAGCCTCGGCGCTTGGCCACCATGCCTTTTTTAGGGTGGCCTATTTTATATGTGTACACACTTCTCCGTTTTGAAATGAGACGTTCTTACACCCAAACAGATCCTGAAATAAAGCTTCAGGTTTTCTCAGATGATGTATGTGTTTTCAGTGTGATCAATAACTGATCATTTCTTCTCTTTTTTCCTTTACCTAATTTAAATATGATTTGTCTGCTGGGACTCTGGATACATTGTGAAAAGTTTTCGATTATTTTCAGCCCCGGCAATCGGTTTTATTCTCTGTGTTTAGTTCACAAAACAGAGTCTCAGAAGGGCAATGTCTGTAATTTGCCACTGGGTGACTGTGCCTAGCACAAAACCTAGCGTGTGGGAAGCTGCATAAATGCCATTTAGACACATAAATAAAAACCGTTTACCTATGACACATTTTATTCTTTCTAGGTATAAAAGGCGGGAAACTGGTAATTTGAAATCAAAACAGTACTTTTTAGTTTGAAATCTGTGTGATGACCACCAACATGTTAGCATATATCCAATCAATATTTCATTTTGAGTTTTCCATTAATGTGAGAACTCCATGGGAATTAGCATTTATTAGTAGTTCTAAATCTTCTACAATATAAGGGGAGTGGAAATTTTAACGAGCCAATGCTGTGGCATTTACTTGGGAATAAACTCTCTCTTCCCTCCTTGTGTCTCCTGTGTCCTGCCCCCTGCTGAATTCAGCTGCAGCATAGACCTCCTATCTTCCAGACCACCAAAGCTTACACAGTCCCAGAGAAGAGACAGGTGTGGGGAGTCATAACTCACAAAGGCTCCCTTGGACTCTAGACCACTAAGAAGGTTAGAATTTCAGGAGTAGCCGTGGAAGATGATGAGGGCTTAGAGTCTCAAGAACTACAAATAAATACCTAAAAATAAAATTTGTCAGTCCAGACTTGGAGAGGTCTAGTATGTGGCTATGAGAAAGATGAAAAGCAACATAGAGACTGGGTAAAAGTGGAAAGGCCCTCCATCACACCATTTGTTGGCGTCATAAAGTATACTGTGTTTCCACCCACCACAATGGAAACCAGGAGGTAACTGATGTCAGTTGTCCCTTCCTAGGAGGCAATGAAAAGTTCAGTGAATTAGTTTATCAGAGGAAGACTTTTCATGTTGCCATAAGTATTATCATTCTAGTCTGAATAGACACATATGGGCCAGTGTAACTTAAGTGCATACAGAATATGAGCTACTCAGAGGACTTTCAGATGCAGAGGTATAGCAGTGGTTCTCAGCCCTGGTTAAGATCACCCGGGAGCTTTTTACTAGGCACGAGTGTTGCAGTCACCCTATATATTCCAACATAATTGTTCTGGGATAGAGACCTGGCATTGGTCTCATGAAGATGTGTATGTGTATGTATACACAATATACCTGTATATGTATTCATATATATGCAATACATATGTATATGTAATTATATATATGTACAGTACATAGGTGTATGTGTTCATATTTTTATAAAACATATTATTATCTCATTTCTTTATATGGTTGTAGCTCTTTCTGTCTTACTAGTATATGTATACATAAATACGTGTATAAAGAGACAACGATGACTACTTATTTGGATGATGACTCCAAACCATTTGTGCTTAGATTTTTAATGAGAATTGTTGTTTTAACATTCTACATAAATTTGGTATTTGATAACTTAGCTACTAGATTGCTTAGGTTACAAGGTACAATTTACAAAGACTTTCTTCATCTCAGTTTCCATAATGGTAAACAGCAATTTTAAAACTCTCTCAGAAGTATAGCTATTTTGTCTATAATCTAATGACATGTGTGTTTGCTATGCTATCCAGATTATTAGCTAAATACTCTTTATTTGGACTTTTGGCATAAAGTCAGACACAAAAATATGTGAAAAATTTTAAATCCACATGATACCAGTGACTTAATTACTAACTTTAAGTAGACAAAATTGGCAAAAACATTTACAACTCATAATAGGAGCATCACAACCCCTTATAAGATGCCTTTTAACATACCAACAAGTTTATATTCATAATCTCACTTATTCCTAATTAAATCTTTTGAGGTCTGCCTTATTTTGATTTTACTATTGCAGCAACTCAGGCTATGAGAAGCTGTTGGTGACCTGGAGTAACAGGCTGGCAGAGTCAGGACTGGAGTTGAGGGTCTGCTCCAAGCTCAGTACTGGCTCCTTGCATCACCTGTAGCTGCTGTCAGTGTCAGGGTCTCAATCGTGTCTCTTTTTTTTTTTTTTTTTTTTTTTTTTTTGAGACAGAGTCTCGCTCTGTCGCCCAGGCTGGAGTGCAGTGGCACGATCTCGATCTCGGCTCACTACAAGCTCCGCCTCCCGGGTTCACGCCCTTCTCCTGCCGCAGCCTCCTGAGTAGCTGGGACTACAGGCGCCCACCACCACACCCGGCTAATTTTTTGTATTTTTAGTAGAGACTGGGTTTCACCGTGTTAGCCAGAATGGTCTCGATCTCCTGACCTCATGATCCGCCCGCCTCGGCCTCCCAAAGTGCTGGGATTACAGGCATGAGCCACCGCTCCCGGCCTGTCATGTCTCTAACCGTAGAAGCTCAAGCAAGGCTGTGGCCTCTGCCTCTGGCTGTGCTCTAAAGAACTGTTTCTTTCTGTTTGTTGTAAGCCATGAACCAAGTTGTTGTGAACATAAAAACCAAATGTGGAGGCCTTTCTCCTCTGCAAGGAAATAGTACACCTGATATTACTTAAACAAGCAAGTGATAAGGCTTACCTGACATGCTGAAAAATGACATGTTGGGGATTTTACTACAAGAAACAAAATACATAATTGGCAGAAATGTGGCATTTGCTAAAAAAAATGGCTTGAATTCTTTCCATCTGCTACACTGATTTTCTTCACACATCACCAAAATCATAAAGCAAATCCAGCTCTGAGCAGTTGAAATATAGAAACAAGGGTGACAAGAGAGCAGGCCGAAGGAGCTCAGTGACTCAGAGATTAGCCACTGCCATCTCACTGCTGGGACCCTCGGCATCATGGAATGTGGCATGATGGCCATCCTGTGGCAGTTTCTAAGCCACCCAAAGAGGTAATGCCGCCTGTCAACATTCAGAGCATTACCTCAAGGAGGCTGCACCATGGCTGAGCCTAAAATAAAACACTGCTGTTTGCGACCCTCTGTTGTTGCTTGCTGGGAGACTCAGAGTAAATTTGCATCCAAAGCCTGCAACAAGCTTGTTTCCTTAATATAATATATACCACATGTTTTCATATCATAATTTTAGTCTTTATCATAAAATAATTTTTAAAAAATATTCTATCTTCAAAGAAAATTGTAAAGGACCTGTGGGGGAACCTAAAATTTGGGACTTTGAATGTCATTAGAACTTAGACAGATGTACCCTTTGAGCAGATTATGCAATGATAACTTACATTTAATTATTTTATGACTGCTTCTATTTGAACAAACATATATCATTTTCTGCTCATGTTTTGAATTTTTAATGCAAAGAACCTGATCTAAAGCATTGTGAGTTTTCTTTTCTTTTCTTTTTTTTTTGAGACAGAGTTTCACTCTGTTGCCCAGGCTAGAGTGCAGTGGCATGATCTCAGCTCACTGCAACCTCTGCCTCTACAGTTCAAGCGATTCTCCTGCCTCAGCCTCCTGAGTAGCTGGGATTACAGGTGTATGCTACCAAGCCTGGCTACTTTTTGTATTTTTAGTAGAGATGGGGTTTCACCATGTTGGCCAGGTTGGTCTCGAACTCCTGGCCTCAAGTCATTCACCTGCCTTGGCCTCCCAAAGTGCTGGGATTACAGGCGTGAGCCACCACACCTGGCCGTGAGTTTTCAATTACTTGCTTAACATCTATAAATGTTGTTGGTTTACAAAATAGATAACTGATGGGAAATACATAACCTTATAGGAAAGTAATTTGGGGGCAGTGTTAATTATAGATGCGTTGGATAAGAAGATCTGTTAGGTAGTAAAGCCCTTTAAAAAGGATAAATTGGTTAAAAGTCCCTATCATGGGTTTTTGGGGACTCTTCAGTACTCCTCTGTGGATTCACTCTGGGGCCCACTAGCATTTATAATGCTGGTAGCAGGGAATAAAGCTCAGGATATCCACTGTCTTCAAACTCTGTAGAGTCTTCAAGATTGTGTATCTATCTGTGAGTCACAAAGTGTTTGATAAGCTGAGTGTGCAGGACTGATTAGAAGAGGGACTCTTTGTATTGAGGGTGTTCACAGTATCATATTTCTTAGTAGAAATAGAATCTGAGAAGTCGTTGAGTTCGGGAAAACATGTATGAATCAATAAAACCATGAGGATAAACAGGCACAACAAGAAGGTAGAAACTGTTGAATGTTTATATTTTTGTAGTCACAGAAATGAAATGAGCCAAAAACATAGAATTTAAACAAATAGAGTTGACATCTCAGTAACAGAAAAAGTGCATGCACCATTTCTGGTTGTACTGAAAATAAGATGCCTGTTTTAATGCTAATGTAATTATAATGAAAATAAAACATGCAAATGAAGGCAAGAGTACTTGGAGTAACTGGAAAGAGGAATCAGTTTGCTCTATTTGGTAGAAAGGCTAGAAAGAGAGTGAGAAGGATTTATCCACAGAAGAAAGATGAGGTTGGCTGGGCGCGGTGGCTCACGCCTGTAATCTCAGCACTTTGGGAGGCCCAGGCAGGCTGATCACAAGGTCAGGAGTTTGAGACCAGCCTGGCCAGCATGGTGAAACCCCATCTCTACTAAAAATACAAAAAATTAGCTGGGCATGGTGGCGCATGCCTGTAATCCCAGCTAATTTCAGAATCGAAGGGCCAGGCATCCAGGCCAGGGTGGCAGGGCACCCACACACACACAGGTGGCCTATGCAACGCGGCCCCCAGCGGGTGTCACCCTCCTCCCTCGTCGGTTGCCTTCACCCACACCGGGGCATAGGGAATGGCGGGAGGCTGAGGCAGGAGAATTGCTTGAACCCGGGAGGTAGAGGTTGCCTTATATCAAATGGTGTAGTATTTGATATAACCTATGCACATCATCCTGTAACTTTAAATCATCTGTAGATTGCCAACAATACATAATACTATGTAAATGGTAAGTTACAGTTATATTGTATTGTTTAGGAAATAATAACAATAGAAAGTCTTTACATGTTCAGCACAGTTACAACCATCCTTTTTTCCCAAATAGTTTCAACCCAAGGTTAGTTGAATCTATGGATACAGAAACCATGGATGTGGAGGGCCAACTGTGTATACACATATACATACACATATACACATCCCACATTGCATGTCTGTATCAAAACATCTCATGTCCCCCATAAATTTATATACCTACTGTGTACCCACAAAACTTAAAAATAAAAAATTTTAAAAATAAAAAAAGAGAATTAAAAAAAAAGATACATTTGAAACAGTTCATTGAGGTCAAGGGCATTTTTTTTTTCTTGAGCTGGAGTCTCACTGTTGTTGTCCAGGCTGGAGTGCAATGGTGCGATCTCGGCTCATTGCAACCTCCGTCTCCCAGGTTCAAGGGATTCTCCTGCCCCAGCGTCCTGAGTAGCTGGGATTACCGGTGCCAGCCACCACGCCCAGCTAATTTTTTTGTAATTTTAGTAGAGACGGGGTTTTGTCATGTTCTCCAGGCTGGTCTCGAACTGCTGACCTCAGGTGATCCACCCACCTCGGCCTTCCGAAGTGTGGAATTACAGGCATGTGCCTCTGTGCCAGGTCAAGGGCATTTTTAAAGAGCTATTAAACTCTACTGCTGATTACTTGCTTCTTCCCTCAATACCATTAATAACCTCATAATTCAACATAGCTCTAGATGACCGCCTGCAGCTCATTATAAACCCATTAAAGAAAACCCATTCCATGGCAGAGCTTGCCTTTCAATGAGAACTGGCCCTTTTATATAAATACTCTATCTTCTGTATACTTTTTGGTAAAGTTTCAGAGGACTCTTTCTGTGAAAAGCTATCTCCACTAAATTTTTCCTAAATGTAATAATTATCGGTGAACATTGAAATAGCCACCACATCTGCTTCAATTGGTGTCATAAATGTATTTAATATGGTTGCTGCTTTGGCTTCCATTTTCAGGCCTGGCATAAGTTGTTTGAAATCCAGTGTGCCTCATCTCCTTTTGCCTAGTTACAACTTTGTCCACCTCTGTGGTTGTTTGCCATATACCCTGTTTGGTCTTCATCCCACTGACCCTAAACCCGACACTCTCCACAACTGCTGACCATGATAAAACCTAATGGTCAAGACCAGGGTCGTGGAAATAAGTTTATCTTCACATGTGTTTTCTGTAAGCCAGCCAATCTCCAACACCTTGCAGGAAAGCCCAAGGGATAATGCCCATGGACCTTGTTAAAGGATAGTCCTGAAGGTCCTTTCTCTCTTTCCCCACCTGCTGGTGGAGCTCTCTGTTACTTCTAGACTTCCCTCCTTTTGGCTTCTCAGTGAGCAGCAGTGACAGCAGGAACAATCCCTCGGCAAGGGCCACCTGTTGTGCACCCATGGGGAGACACTTGGGGAGAAGGTGGTGGCTCTCGGGTTGCAGTGAAGAATGTCAGCCACTAGCGTGGTTTAGAGACCTAACAAGCAGAGAAATAAAGTTTCAGTACAGAATGGTTGGATTCATCAAAAAGATGCTGTAAATGATGATTTGGAGCCACACAAGTAGCCAGACAAATCAGAGTGACAGCCCTCCATCCATGGTCAGAGCCATGCATGCCTGTCACTATGCCCCATCCTCTGAATTTCCATATTCCCCTGGTCCATGGGCCACAGGTTTACACTCGGGTATCAGGTAAATACCCAGGTCCCCAGTTGACACCAGGATCCAGGTGGACACCCAGGCTCCAGGTGAACATCAGGCCCCAGGTAGATGCTGGACTCCAGTAGACATCAGGCCCCAAGTAAACACCCATGATTCAGGGGAACAAAAGGCCCCAGGTGAACACCAGACTCTGGGTGGATATCAGACCCCAGGTGGAAACCAGGCCCTAGGTGGACACCTAAGTTCCGGGTTACATCAGGCCCCAAGTGAACACCAGGCCCTAGGTGGACATCAGGCTGTAGCTGGACACAAGGACCCAGGTGAACTTCAAGTCCCAGAAGAATATCAGGCCCCAGGTGGATGCCTAGGCCCCAGGTGTACGTCC
Organism: Homo sapiens; assembly: GCF_000001405.40. Taxonomy (NCBI): domain Eukaryota; kingdom Metazoa; phylum Chordata; class Mammalia; order Primates; family Hominidae; genus Homo; species Homo sapiens. Next base: position 14,653 of record NT_187537.1, read on the forward strand.
GGCCCTAGATGGGCCCCAGGCCTCAGGTAGATACCTAGGCACCTGGTGAACATCAGGCCCCAGGTTGATACCCAGCCCCAGAAGGAAGCCCAGGCCCCAGCCACACATCAGGTTCCACATGGACACCCAGGCCCCAGGTGAATATCAGGACTCAGGTGAACACCAAGCCCCAGGTAGACATCAGGCACCAAGTGGACATTTGGCGCCAGGTGGACATCCCAAGAGGCACCTCAAGCCCCAGGATGATGCCCAGGCCCCGGGTACACACCAGACCCAAGAGAACTCCAGTCCCCATCTGAACATCTGGTCCTAGGTAGATATCGGGCCCCAGGTCAATACTAATTCCTAAGTGGATACCTACGCCCAAGTTTGACATCAGGCCCAAGGTGGATACCCTGTCACCAGGGGCCATCAGGCTCAAGGCAGATGCCAGGACTCTGGTGGACAATAGGCCCCAGGTGAACATCAGGCTTCAGGTGAACACCAGCCCCAGGCTGACACCATGAACTAGGTGGTCAACATTAGACCTCAAGCAGACAACCATGCCCCAGGTAAATACCCAGCCTCAATTTGACATAGGCCCAAGGAGGACACTGGACTGTAGGTGAACATCAAGCCCTCGGTTGACACTCATGCTCCAGGTAGACACAAGGCCCCATGTTCATACCTAGTCTGCAGATGTATGTCAGACCCCAGGTGGACACCAGGCCCAAGGTGTATACCAGTCCTGAGGTGGACATAAGGTCCCAGGTAGACATCAAGCTCCAGATTGACATCTGACACAAGGTGGACATCAGGCCCCAGATGGATACCCAGTCCCGAGGTGGACATCAGGGCCCGGGGTGATAAAAGGACGTCAGACCTGAAGTGGACACCTAGGCCCCAGGTCAATACCCAGGTCCCAAGTGGACACCAGGCACTAGATGGACATCGTGCCCAAGGTAGGCATCAGGCCCCAAGTGGATATCAAACCTAGCCCAGCTGGAGATGTGCATGACACATTGTTAGCCCTCAATGGATCTGAGCAAGCATGACAAGTCTCAGCGTCATGACAGCAGCAGCCCTGCTGAGGACAGGGCTCCCATCCCTACTGCCAGTGCTGCCTGGCCTGAGCCTCCCTGTGCTTCCTCCACAGGGCAGCCCATCCAGTATGCTCGCTCCACCTGCGAGGCCGGCGTGGCTGAGCTCCACATCCAGGATGCCCTGCCGGAGGACCATGGCACCTACACCTGCCTGGCTGAGAATGCCTTGGGGCAGGTGTCCTGTAGCGCCCGGGTCACCGTCCGTGGTAGGAGCCTCTGGTCACCCGAGTAGAAGCACCTTTCCTGCAGACACTTCTGCTTTGGAAGAAGGGCACATTTGTAGAAAATGGTATCATGAGCTAAAATCCAGGGAGCAGAGGTGCACATGGCACTACTCCACACCACTGGCAGCGGCAGGTGCCGTGACAGAGGAGTGGCTGCTGCAACCTCTTAGGGACAGAGGAGAGGGTCCTTAAAAAGTGCTGCACCTGCAGGTAGGAAGTGAGGGAGATGACCTCCAGGAGTTCACAGCGACAAGGGTGTCATCAGAGGTGGCCTTTTCCTCACCCCCTCTCTCCACTGGGGCCATGGAAAGGTATGGGGGAAAGAGATAGGGCTCCCTTAGCTCCAGAAGCTCCAGGTCTGGTCAGAAGAAAACCTCGCACACTACAAAAGGACTTGGGAGAGCACTCACGTATTCCCTGAGCAGTCAGTGGCCTCCCAGTGACCCCTTACATGCTGGGGGACCCTGGGTCACAGAGTGCACACTGAGGCTTCCAGAGGGTCACAGGTTGTCCCCTTTCTGCCCCCTTTCTACTCACGGGCCCAGGCTTGTTTTTACACATCAGCAGCCTGGTCTCCAGTAATCTGATTATCATGGTCATCCATTCATCAGCCAAGCACTTAGTCCCTGGGAATTGCAGGGAGCCACAGACTCAAGACAGATCTGTCTGGGCTGTGGTATCAGCAGGCCTGGTGACAGTTCCCACGGAAGTGCTTCTTGGGTCCAGGGCTTTCAGGTAAGCCTGATCCCACCATCACCCTGAGCCTACGCCCCCGGCTCCTGTGCATGACTGGGTCCTCTGGTGCTAGCACTGAGTGCAGCGTGACTGGTCTCCCATCAGACAAGCAGGAGGATACATCTCTCCATTCCCTGGGGCTCAGGCCTGTCAGGAACATCTCCGTGTTGTATGAGTAGCCACTGTCTGGGAGGCTGCAGGAGGAAGTTTCGCAGAAAAGGAAAGGGGAAGAAACATTTGTGGCTTACTGTGTTAAATACTTTCACCTCACCCGTATTCTCTCACTGAGACCTCAGTAGCCTAGGGGACAAGGATGCTGTCCTGATTTCAGATGGAAGGCTCTGGAAGTCTCAGGAAGTGAATGTAACTTGCCTAAGCACATCACACTAGTCTGCAAATCTGGACCCTGGAGCCCACAGCCTGTGACTTTCAAGTCTGCACTCATTCCTATGCCCTGACCTTTTTCAGAGGGCACGTCCCCTGGCCCAAAGGGGAAGACTGGCCACTGTGGGCTGGGCAGTGTCAGTCCCTTAGGGATGAAGGAACTGGCACTGATGGAGAATGTGGCCGAGCCTGGCTCCGTGAAGCTCTCTGCCAGGAGTGAGCATGCTCTCTGGGTGCTCTAACTGAAGAGATGCCTCAGCATAGAGTCGTTATTGGGAAACTGGTCCACCTCTTCCTTCCAGGAAACCTATCACACTGGGCTCAGAGCCCAACTCTGGCCTCTGGGAATTTGCAGCCAGATTCTGGTTTACAAACTTACTCATTTATCCTCATAGTTCTAACTTCATGACTCCCTGGGAGCCAGGTGGGGAGCTCAGGAAATTGTGATAATGAGATTTCAGAGGAAACCTGAACTGCTGAGAACCTTGTCTCTGAGGGTCAGGGAGCAGGACTCACCTTCCACCTGGGGGCTCTTCTTGGAGGCCAGCATGGCCAACCCGAGTCGAGTAAGGGGCAGCAAGAGTCAGAATGCTACACGTAGAGCCACATGGCTCAGCCCTCTGTTTTCTGAGACTCTCCCTCCACAGCCACAGCCAAGGGCTAATCCAATGTCTGTCCTGGCTTGCCTGTGTTTAGATTGGATTAGAGTGACCCAGCTGAGCTAAGAGTCCCCTGGAGGTGGGAGTCCCAGGCGAAAGATCAAGAACTCTTTAGGGCCATTCTCCTGACTCCTGGGCCTGTGGGGGCTGGGGCCTGAAGGATCACCACCCATCCACAAAAAAAAAAAAAAAAAAAAAAAGGCACAGAGAGGTCCCAGGCAAAAACTCTGCCAAGTAAGTTTGGATTTGTTCTGAGAAGAGGCCTGCATGAGAGAACCCCCTCCCAGTGTGGGGGATGTACTGGGCTATAAAGACCAGACAGGCTCAGATACCATAAATGGTGAACAAGGCTGAGAACGCAGCTGCACTCTCAGGCCCGGCAGCATTTGGGCTCTCTTGGCACAGGATTGGAGCAGGGTGAGCCTGGCAGAGTGACACCCCCTGGCATGGTGCCCTGAGACACTCGGGAGGCTCGGGGCTGCTCCCTGCACTGTCCTCCACTGTGGAGTTTTTCTGACTTGATTGGCAGCCCCGTTGGCTCTGGGTCCTTGGGGGACAGCCTGGGCTGGGAGAGATGATCACAGTGGAGGTGTTTGTTCCCTACTGCACTGATGGCTGCTTCACCCCTCCCTTAGCTGTCCAGGTCCAGCCCTCTCTTGCCCTTAGTGTGGCACCAGGCCATGGTGGGGAGCATGGATGTGGAGCCAGCGGCCTGGGTGTGAGTCCTGCTCTGCCACTTACTAGCCCTGCACCCTGGCATTTTAGCATTCCAGACCTCAGCTTCCTCTTGTGTGAAATGGAGATGCTGACAGTCACGGTACTGTGAGGATTAAGTGAATGAATGTGCAAAGTATCCCCAGAGCATAGGATAGCACATACCCTCCATAGGTATGTGCTGTGATTATGATTGTCCAGCAGAGCCCACCTTTAAACAAGATACAATCCTTACAAATGCCAAGACTGAGGAGGGGTTTTCCCAAAGGATCCACTTTGCTACAGTATTGTGTGTTTGTTTGGCCATCAGAAAATCAGAGGAGGGAGATGTCCAGCCAGACACAAGCGATGAACACACGCGCCTGCTTCCAAGGGCTCTGGCCACAAAGTGGCGCCATGGAGCAACGCGTGTCCCTCCAGTTGTCTTCTCTCAGGGGTGGTTGAGGGGCAGCTCTGCTGCAAGCAAGCTTATTCTGAGAGCTCAGCAGATACTGTGCCAAAGGCCAGATGCAGGGGCTCTTTCTCACCTCTCGCCTTTTGCCGATATTTTGCGATCATCGAGATTGCTGGTGCAGCCCTCAAATGCGATTTCTGCAGCCAGCCCTTCATGCTTTCTCTGCCTCCCCTCCTTAGTGACTCTCTTCTTCTCCAAATCCTGGAAACTCCCACAAATATCACTTTCTCTGGGAAGCCTACCCTAATCACCCCAGAATGCGTTCCCTGAACACCGTGTGCTTCTAGTATTACACTTACTTATCAACAAGTCTTTACTGCGCGCCTATACTGATCAGTGCCAGGCATTGTTCTGGGGAAATTGCAGTAGACAGGACAGCTGAGGGCCCTGCCTGCAGGGTGCTTACATTCTGATGGGGATGCCAGCAGCAATCAGCACCTGGCCTCATTTCAAATGCTGGCACGTGCTGTTAAGAACATGAGCAGGTCACAAAGGAATAATTATAAAGAGAAAAAGCCAGTGAGTGGGGTGTGTGAATCGAGGAGGGTGAGAGGGTGTATCTTTAGTGCTGTGAGGAAGCCTCAGAGGTGTCCATGGCCTGGGGAAAGAGAGCTCCAGGCAGGCAGCACAGCAAGTGCAAGGCCCTGAGTCAGGAGCAAGGTTGACTCATTTGAGGAGCAGCAAGATGGCAGCCTCTGTGGCTGCAGCAAAGTAGACGGGGCAGTGTGATAGAAAGTGAGTTCAGAATGCGGGGGCTCACCATGCCAGGCCTCTGGAGGTGAGGAGAAAACAATTTACTCCGTGAAAATTCACTCTTTTTACTCTACTTGCTTAATTATCTTCCTCTCCAGACTGTAAGCTCCCTGCAGGGAGGGACCATATTGTACTGTGTGTAGAGCCAGGCCTGCCTTGGGAGCATGCATTCCCTGAATGGATGAGAGCACAGAGGTTGCCGAACCTCCCCTGCAGTGCAGGGAGGCATTCCTTAGAATTCCTCGCTTTTCTGGGGGCTCAGTGCCCATTAGGGTGTGCAGGAAATCTGCAAATTAACTTCAAGAGTCCCTCAACATGGCTGGGTGCAGTGGCTCATGCCTGTAATCCCAGCACTTTGGGAGGCCAAAGCGGGTGGGTCGCTTGAGTCCAGGAGTTCAAGACCACCCTGGGCAACATGGCGACACACTGTCTCGACAAAAAACACAAAAATTAGCCAGGTGTGGTGGCCCATTCCTCTAGTCCTAGCTACTCAGGAGGCTGAGGCAGGAGGATTGCTTGAGCCTGTGAGGTCGAGACTGCAGTTGCAGTGAGCTGTGATCACACCACTGGACTCCAGCCTGGATGACAGAGCAAGACGCTGTCTCAAAAAAAAAAAAAAAAAAAAAAAGAGTCCCTCAACAAATATTCCTTCTTTCCCCAACACAGGCTAGGGAAAAAAAATTCCCAGATAGTTAACCAAGCAATGAATGTCTTTCCTCCTGACCCAGGATGAGTCTAAAAGATGATTAATTCAAATTCCTGCAGAGCCCAGGAAGATCTGAAATACACTATATATTTCACGCTATTTGGACTGAGTCATTGCTGGGGGCTTCTTTGGGCTAGAATATTTTAAGTTTATTTCCCACTGGAGTATCTCTGTCAAGGCTAAAATTCTTAAGTGTCTAGATTTATTAATAGCCTGCCAGTTGTGCCCATTTGACATAGTTTCTCAGCCTAACAGTTTGTTTATTTAACTGAAACCCTGGTGGGCCTGTTAAAGGCATCAAAGGACATAAAATGTGGGTAAGTTAAAAAGATGAAAAGATGATCTCTAGAATAGATAATAAAATATAACAAGCATATTTATTAGAGTATTTGTTTTGATGCAGAGCTTCTAATGAAGACAACAGGCACCAGTGAAGTCAGCGTTTGCTTGGCGATGAGTAGAGGCACAGTTTGTTTTCAGATTAATACCAGGCACTCTGCGGGGCAGCCTGGAGCCACCTCCTTTGTCTTCCCATGTTATGCACAGGTACTTTGGACACTATACAATCTGTGCAGTTGACATAAGGTATGGACCCCAACCGACTTCCTTAAGATTAAAAACGCTGACAACTTCTTAAATACTTACATTGACTACAGAAAAATATTTTGAAGAAGAATAAATACCAGTTTTAACTTGCCTTTTTTATATATATTAAGAAGCTTAGTTTATTCAAAACATCTGTCCACAAGCCTTTAAACTCTAAGAAGGTGTACACAAATAGCGTGTACACCTACTGTGATATTAAAAGTTATATTTCCATAGGGTATTGCAAATAACATCACAGTGGGTATATACCCACTGTGATATTTGAAGTAATATCTCCCTAAGATATGACAAAAAATATCAAAGTGTGGACCCCGTCTGTGACATCAAAAGTAACATCTCTGTGGATATTCTGAATAATATCACAGGGTGTACACAGCCTGTGACATTAGGAGTAGCATCCCCATAAGATATTCTGAGTAATATCACAGGGTGTACACCCCATGTGACATTAAGGGTAACATCTTCTTAGGATGTTACGAATGACATCACAGGGTGTACGCCCCCTGTGACTTTTAAAGTAACATCCCCCTAGAATATTACGAATAATATCATGGGTGTACACCCCGAGTGACATTAGGAGTAACATCTCCCTAGGATATTATGAAGAATATCACTGGGTGTACACCCTCTGTCATATTGGGAGTAACATCCTTCTATGATATATGAATAATATCACAAGGTGTACACACGCTGTGATATTCAGAGAGATATCTCCCTAGGATATAAGGTATCATATCACAGAATGTACACGCATGGTGTACACCCACTGTGATATTAGAAGCAATATCTCCCTATGATAGTATGAGAAATATCAAAGGGAGTACACTCTCTGTGATATTAGATGTAATGTTTACTATGGATATTACAAATAATATCACAGGGTGTACACACATGAGGTACACGCACTGTGGTATTATTCATATTGTCTTAGAGAGACAAAACTCTCTAATATAACACAGAGAGCTATAACTCTGTAATATCTCTGAGATATTACAAATAATATCACAGTGAATGTACACCCACTGTAGATTTACAGTAATATCTCCCTATAAGACTACAAATAGTATCAAAGGGTGTACACCCCCTGTGACCTTAGGAGTAACATCCTTCTGGATATCAGGAATAATATCATAAGGCATACCCACTCTGTGACATTTTGTACACCCTTTGTGACATTAAAAGTCACATCCCCCTCGTATATTACGAATAATATCAATGGCAGTTGACGCACACGGTGTACACATCCTGTTACATTAGGCGTAATCTTTTTCTGTGATTTATGAATAATATCATAGAAGGTGTACACATATGGTGTACACTCCAGGTGACATTAGGAGCAACATTCCCCCAAGATATTAGAAATAATATTACCAGGGTTGCATACACATGGTGTACTGTCCCTGTGACATTAGCAGCAACATTCCCCTAGAATATTACGAATAACATCAGAGGGGGAGTACACATATAATGTACGCACCTTGTAAAATTAGGAGTAGCATCTCCCTACAATGTTATGAATAATATCACAGAATGTGTACACACATGGCGTATACCCCATGTGATGTTAAGAGTTACATCCTCCTAGTATGTTAGGAATAATACCACAAAGGTGTTCGCACATGGTTAACATCATATGGAATGTTAGGATTAACATCCCTCAAGAATATTACAAACAACATCACAGGGGCTGTGCACACATGGTGCACATGCCCTGTGGTGTTAAGAGTACATTTCCCTGACACATTACGAGTAATATCACAGAGTATACACCTTCTGTGACATTTGGAGTAACTCCCCTAGGATAGTATGAATAATACCACAGGGTGTACATCCCCTGTGACCTGAGGAGTAACATCTTTCTAGGATATTGTGAATAATATCACAAGATGCACAGCCCCTGTGACACGAGGAGTAACATCCACCTAGGATATTATGAATAATATCACAGGGAGTACACCCCGTGTGACAGTAGAAGTAACCTCAGCCAAGGATATAAGGAACAAATACAGAGGCTGCACAAGTGTTGTGACATTAGCAGTAACATCCATTTAGGATATTACGAATATTATCACAGTGTGAATACCCCCTGTGATATTAGGAGTAACATCTCCCTACAATATTGGGAGCCATGTCATACGGTGTACACCCCCCATGACATTAGAGGTAACATTACCTTAGGATATTATGAATAATATTACAAGGTGTACAGCCCCTGTGATATTAGGAGTAACATTTCCATAAAATATTAGGAATAATATCACTGTTTGTACACTACGGGTGACATTAGGAGTAGCGGACCCCAAAACTATTATGAATAACTTCACAGGGTGTACACCCTCTGTGACATTGTGAGTAACTCCTTCCTACGATATTACTAATAAGATCAAGGGGTGTACACACCCTATGACCTTAAGATAACATCCCGTTAGGATATTTGAAATAATATCCCAGGGTGTACACCCCATGTGACATTGCGAGTAACAGCTTCCTAGGATATTATGAATAAGATCCCAGGGTTGACACACCCTGTGATTTTAAAAGTAAAATCCCCCTAGAATAGTACTAATAATAACACAGGGTATACACCCCTGTGATGCTAGGAGTAACATCCTCTCAGGATATTTCAAATAATATCAGAAGGTGTACACACACGGTGACATTAGTAGTAATATCCCGCTAGTGTGAATACTATCACAGGGTATACGCACCTGTGACTTTAGGAGTAATATCCCCCTGAAATATTCTGAATAATATCACAGGGCATACACCTCCTGTGACTTTAGGAGTATCATCCTGCTAAAGTACTAAGAATAATGCCCCAGGGGGTTAGCCTGTGTAATATCACAGGGTGTACACCCCCTGTGACATTAGGAGTACATCTTTCTAGAACATCATGAGTAATATCACAATGTGTACACCATTTGTGACATTAAAAGTAAAATCCCGCTAAGATATTCTGAATAATGTCACAGGGAGTACACCCCATGTGACATAGGAGGAATAACCCATGAGGATATAAGAAAGAGGGTGTACACATATTGTGACATTAGTAGTAACATCCCGCTAGGATGTTACAAATAATATCACAAGGTGTACACACCGGGTGACATTAATTTATATCACATTCCCCTAGAATATGACCCATAACATTACAGGGTGTAGAACACCTGTGATTTATGAGTAACATTTCTATAGAATATTACAAGTAGTATCCTTCGGTGTGCACTCCGTGTGACATTAGGAGTAACATCCCACGAAACTGTGATGAATAATTTCAAAAGGTGCACACCCTCTGTGACATTAAAAGTAACATCTCGCTAGGATATTATGAATAATATCACAGGGTATATACAGCCCCTGTGACATGAGGAGTAATGTCTCTTTAGGATATCACGAATAATATATCAAGATGTACGCACCCTGTGACATTAGGTGTAATATCCGTCTAGGAGACTGCAAATACTATCATAGTGAACACAACCCCTGTGACAATAGGAGTAACATCCCCGTAGGATGTTATGAATAATATCACAAGGTGCACACACATTGTGACTTCAGTGCTAATATCCCTCTCATATACTGTGAATAATATCACAGGGTGTACACCCCTGTGATATTACATTAGGAATAACATCTCCCTAAAATATTATGAATAATATCATAGGGGGTACACAGGCCTTTGGTTTAGGAGTAATATTCCCATAGGATATTACTAATAATATCACAGTGTGTACACTCACTGTGATATTAGGAGTACCATTTCCCAAGGATATTATGAATAATATCACAGTAGGTGTTCACACATGATGTGTACAACATGTGTGTACACCCAATGTGATAGTTGAAGTAATATGTCCCTGGGATCTTACGAATAATATCAAAAGGTGTACACCCTATGTGACATTAAGAGTAACATCCCTTTTGGAGATTCTGAATGTTATCACAGGGTGTGATATTAGGAGTGTGATATGAGGAGTAACCTCTTCCTAGGATAACCCGTGATAGTAGGAGTAACCTCTTCCTAGGATATTACGGATAACATCACAGGGTGTAAAACCCTGTGACTTTAAATGTAACACCCCCCTAGAATATTATGAATAATATAACAGGGTGTACACCCCCTGTGACATTAGGAGTAACATCTCCCTAGGATATTACAAATAATGTCACTGGGGGCACACCCTCTGTGATATTAGCAGCAACATCTTTCTAGGATATTATGAATTATATCACAGGGTGTAAACTCACTGTGATATTAGAAGGAATATCTCCCTAGGATATAAGCTATCATATCACAAGAATGTACACACATGGTGTACACCCACTGTGTTATTAGCAGCAATATCTCCCTATGATATTATGAAAAATATCACGGGGTGTACTCTCTGGTGGGTTACTAGAAGTAATGTTTACCATGAATATTACAAATAATATCACAAGGTGTACACACATGGGGTACACCCACTGTGATATTAGGAGTTATATCTCTCAAAGATATTACAAATAATATCCCAGTGGGGGTACCCCATGTGTGTACACCCACTGTGATATTTACAGTAACATCTCTCTATAAGATTACAAATAATATCGAGAGGGGACACCCCCTGTGACATTAGGAGAAACATCCACCGACAATATTGGGAACAATATCACACGGTGTACACCCCTGTAACGTTAGGAGTAACAACACCCTGAATATTGCTAATAATATCACAAGGTGTACACGCATTGTGACATTAGTAGTAATATCTTGCTAACATATTTTCAAGAATATCACAGAAGGAACACACCTGTGACTTTAAGAGTAACATTTCTCTAGAATAGTAAGAATAATATGATGGGGTGTACACCCCCTGTGACATTAGGAGTATCATCTCCCTGGAATATTACAAATAATGTCACAGGGGATTATCTAGTGTGACAATAGGAGTATACACCTCTGGGAAATTATGAATACTAACACAGGGTGTACACCCCTGTGACATTAGGAGAAACATCTTTCTAGAATATCACGAATAATATCACTATGTGTACACACACTGTGTCATTAAAAGTAAAATTGCCCTAGGATATTATGAAATAGAACACAGGGAGTACACCCCGTGTGACATTAGAAGTACATCCCCCGAGGACATAACGAATAATATCAGAGAATGCACCTGCCTTGGACATCAGTAGTAACATCTCTTCAGGATAACACGATAATATCAAAGGGTGTACACACATTGTGAAATTAGTAGTGAACTCCTGCTAGGATATTACGAATTTCATGACAGGGTCTACACGCCCTGTGACATTACTAGGAAGGTTTTCCCAGAATATTATGAAGAATATTAAAGGGTGTACAGGACCTGTGATTTATGAGTAACATTTTGATAGAATATTGCACGTAGTATCACTGTGTGTACACCCCGTATGACATTAGGGTAACATCCCACAAAACTATAACGAATAATTTCACAAGTTGTACACCCTCTGTGATATGAAAAGTAACATTTCCCTAGAATATGACGGTAATATCACAGCGTGTACAACCTCTGTGATATGAGAAGTGACATCTGATAAGGATAATGAGAGTAATTTGACAACGTGTACAAACCCTGTGACATAAGGAGTGACATCCCACTAGGATACTATGAACAATATCAAAAAGAATATACCCCGACTGACGATAAAAGTAACCTCCCCTTAGGAGATTAGGAATAACACCACAAGTTGTACACACATTGTGACACACTTATTAGTGTCCCGCTAGGCTATTGGAAATAATATCACAGTGCGTAGAGTCCTGTGACATCAGAATTAACATTCCACGCAATATTACGAATAACATCGCAGGGTGAATACTCCTGTGACTTTAGTAATGGCATTTTGCTAGAATATGGAAAATAATGTCCCAGGGTGTTAATCAAGTGTGGCAGAAGAGAAAAGACTCAAGGAGTAATAGAATAATATCTCCACCCCTCTCCCCCCCTGGATATTATGATCCACATCACAGGGGCCCAGCGCCCCCAGCGATGCGGGAAGTAATATCCCACCCCTCTCCCCCCCTGGATATTACGATCCACATCTCAGGGGTGCGGGCGCCCCCGCGATGCGGGGAGTAATATCCTCACCTCTCTGCTCCCCTGGATGTTGCGGTCCACGGTGGTCACACAGCGTGTTTACCTTATTGGCAGTAATATCTTCTCCTTCTCTGGAAATTACCATCTATATCACAGTCGGGGGTACATCCTCTGCACTATTTGCAATAATAGCATCCTCTTCCCCATGGATATTAAGAACAATATTACAGGACTGTTTTTACCCCCAGCGGCATTGGGTGTAGTATCATCCTCTCCCACGTTGAAATTAGGAACAATATAACTGGGGGCGTGTCCACCCCATGCCATATTGAAAGTAACATCTTCCGCTTCTCGCCTGGATCATGGGAACAATATGACTGGGGTGGTGTACACTTTCTGCGGTATTGGGAGTAATATCATCCTCTCCGCCTTGGAATATTAGGGACAATATCACAGGGGGGCTCTACACACCCGGCGCTATTAAGAAGAATATTGTCCTCTCCCGTCCTGCTTATTAGGAAAAATATCACAGAGTGGGTGTACACCTCCTGCGATATGGGGGGTAATATCCTCTTCTTCTTCTGGATAGTAGCAACAATATCACACGGGTTTGTACACTTTCTGTGATATTGGGAGTAATATCAACCTCTCGGCCTTTGAATATTGAGAACAATATCACAGAATGGATGTGCAACCCCTGCGATATTGGGAGTAATATCAGCCTCTCCTCCATGGATATTAGGAATAATATCCCAGGGTGGGTGTACACCTCCTGCTGTATGGGGAGTCATATCGTCCTCTCCCTTCCTGGCTATTAGGAACAATATCACAGGGTGGCTGTACACAACCTGCGATATTGGGGGTAATATCACCCTCTCCCCGTCCGGATATTAGGAACAATATCACAGAAGTTGTGTACACTTCCTGCGATACTGGGAGTAATAGCATTCTCTTCTTCCGTGAATATTAGGAGCAATATCACCGGGTGGATGTACACCCACTGCTATACTGGGAGTAACGTCATACTCCACCCCCTGGATGTTATATTCGGATGAATATCACCGCGTAGGTGTACACCTATTGCGATATTGAACGTAATATCATGCTCTCTCCCTCCCTGGACATTAGGAACAATATCACAGGTGGGTGTACACCCACTGAGGTATTAGACGTAGTATGAGTATTAATTATTACTCATTTATTAACATGAATATGAATTACCAATATTAATATTAAGAAATAACTGCTAATAAAATTTTTCATATTATTAATATTAATATAAATTATTAGGAGCTAATAGTGTTTTCTAATGATAAGATCAGTATCAGTTATTAATATCAGGTGTTATTAATCATTAATATTAATCATTTATTGTTATCATTAGTATAACTATTTAATATTAATTATCATTATCTTTGGTATTGATGTTTAAAATTATATTATCAGTTATTAATATTGATAATTATTAGTGTCAATTAATAATTGATATTAATTGCGATAAGAAATATTGCGACGTTCCTCACAATATCGCAGAAAATATACACCCCCCAGTGATGTTCTTCCTGATAGCCAGGGTAGACGGTGACATTACTTCATCCATCACGACCCTTTCACGTGGAACCCCTTAGAGTTTTAAGCCCTTAAAGGGGCCAGGAACTCTCTTTCTTAGGGTAGCTGGGCTCTTAAGATGGGAGTCTGCCGACGCTCCTCCTGGCCGAATAAAAAACCCTCTTCTTTCTTTAATGGGCTGTCTGAGAAGTTTTCCTGCTCCATTTCTTGGTTCCCTGACCAGGAATCGAGCATGGGTAGCAGTGGTGAGAGGTCTGAATCCTAACCGATAGACCACCAGGGGAACTTAGAACCTTGTGCGAAATAGATTGCCTACCATTAGAAGTGGGTTGGCCATCAGAAGGAAGCCTGGACAGGTCCCTTGTTTCTAAGGTGTGGCACAAGGTAACTGGTAAAGGATACCTAGAGCAGTTCCCATACATAGACACTTGGTGACAGCTGGTGCTAGACCCCCCACAGTGGCTAAGAGGGCAGGCAGCAGCAATACTAGTAGCAAAGGGACAGATAGCTAAGGAACGATCCCGCTCCACCCGCCCAGGGAAATCAACTCCTGAAGTTCTCTTCGACCCAACATCAGAAGATCCATTGCAGGAGATGGCACCAGACATCCCAGTGGTGCTCTACCCTTACCAGGGCAAGAGGCTCCCCACTCTTGAGCCCACAGTGCTTGCCTCCGCGAGACAAGCATATCCCTAGGCCCCCCAGAGTAGACAAGAGAGGAGGTGAAGACTCCGGAGAAACCCCTCCCTTGGCAGCTCGTTTACGACCCAAAACGGGGATACAAATGCCCCTGAGAGAGCAGCGGTATCCTAGGATAGATGAGATGGTCACGTGGTGGAGAGGCGTGTTTTTGTTTACCAGCCCTTCACCTCTGCCGACCTTCTCAACTGGAAAAACAACACCCCGTCCTATACCGAAAAGCCACAAGCTCTAATTGATTTGCTCCAAACTATTATCCAGACCCACAATGCCACCTGGGCTGATTGCCAGCAGTTGCTCATGTTCCTCTACAGCAGAGATGAAAGGCGGAGAGTGCTCCAAGCAACAACTAAGTGGCTAGAGGAACATGCACCAGCTGATTATCAAAACCCCTAAGAGTGTGTAAGGACCCAGTTACCAGGACCCGATCCCCAGTGGTACCCACATGAAAGAGAGGATATGCAAAGGCTAAATCGAGACAGGGAAGCTCTCTTGGAAGGATTCAAGAGGGGAGCTCAGAAGGCCACAAACGTTAACAAGGTCTCTGAGGTCATTCAGGGAAAGAAGAAAGTCCAGCACAATTCTACCAGAGACTGTGTGAGGCCTATCTTATGTATAATCCCTTTGATCCTGATAGCCCTGAAATCAGCGCATGATTAACATGGCTTTAGTCCATCAAAGCGCAGAAGACATGAGAAGAAAACTGCAGAAACAGGCTGGGCTTGCAAGGATGAATCCATCACAATTACTAGAAATAGCTAGCCAGGTGTTTGTAAACAGGGATGCAGTAAGCCCTAAGGAAAACAGCAAAGAGAAGGGAGGTCAGGGCCGGCAAAATACTGACCTGTTAGCTGCAGCAATCACAGGGGCCCCCCAAAGAGGCAAGGGAAGGGGGGCCCTGGGAAAGAAACTCAGCCTGGCTGTCAGAGTTTGCAGTGTAACCAGTGTGCTTATTGTAAAGAAATAGGACAGTGGAAGAATAAATGCTCTCAGCTCAAAAGAAAACAAGATGACTCAGAACAGGAGGCCCCGGACAAGGAGGAATGGGCCCTGCTCAACCTGGCAGAAGGGTTATTGGACTGAGGGAGAGCGGGCTCAAGCATTCCCAAAGAGCCTCTGGTCAGAATGACAGTCGGGGGTAGAGACATTGATTTTCTTGAAGATAGCGGTGCTGAACATTCACTAGTAACTGCCCTGGTCACCCCCTTATCCAAAAAGACTATTGACGCCATCGGAGCCATGAGGGTTTCAGCAAAGCAAGCTTTCTGCTTGTCTCGGACTTGTACTGTAGGAGGACATAAAGTCATTCATCAGTTTTGGTACATGCCTGACTGTCCCTTGACCTTTTTGGGAAGGAACTTGCTCAGCAAGCTGAGAGCCACTATGTCTTTGACAAAGCATGGCTCTTTGCTGCTAAAGTTACCTGGAACGGGAGTCATTATGACCCTTACAGTCCCCCAAGAGGAGGAATGGAGAATTTTCTTAACTGAGCCAGGCCAAGAGAGAAGACCAGCTCTGGCTAAGTGGTGGCCAAGAGTATGGGCAGAAGACAACCCTCTGGGATTGGCCAGTTAAGACTGGGGCCCAGACGGTGAGGCAAAAACAGGACCCAGTCCCCAGAGAAGTTCTTCAAGGTATCCAGGTCTGTCTCAAGCACCTAAGAACTTTTGAAATTATTGTTCCTTGTTAGTCTCCATGGAACACTCCCCTCCTGCTTGTTCCCAAGCCACGGACCAAGGACTACCGGCCGGTACAGGATTTGCACTTGCTTCATCAAGCTACACTCACTTTACATCCAACAGTACCTAACCCGTCCACATTGTTGGGGTTGCTGCCAGCTGAGGACAGCTGGTTCACTTGCTTGGACCTGAAAGACGCTTTCTTTCCTATCAGATTAGCCCCTGAGAGGCAGAAGCTGTTTGCCTTTCAGTGGGAAGATCCGGAGTCAGGTGTCACTACTCAGTACACTTGGACCAGACTTCCCCAAGGGTTCAAGAACTCCCCCATCATCTTCGGGGAGGCGTTGGCTCAAGACCTCCAGAAGTTTCCCACCAGAGACGTAGGCTGCGTGTTGCTCCAGTAGGTTGATGACCTTCTGCTGGGACACCCCACGGCAGTCGGGTGTGCCACGGGAACGGATGCCCCACACCGGCACCTGGAGGACTGTGGGTATAAGGTGTCCAAGAAGAAAGCTCAGATCTGCCAACAGCAGGTACCTTACTTGGGATTTACTATCTGACAGGGGTTGGAAGGCAGCCCGGGATCAGAAAGAAAGCAGGTCATTTGCAATCTACCGGAGCCTAAGGCCAGAAGGCAGGTGAGAGAATTCTTAGGAGCTGTGGGGTTTTGCAGACTGTGGATCCCAAACTTTGCAGTATTAGCCAAGCCTTTGTATGAGGTCACAAAGGGGGCAGGGATCAGGAAGCTTTGGAATGTGGATCCCAACAACAGCAACTCTTTCATGAGTTAAAGGAAAAACTTCTGGCAGCCCCAGCCCTGGGTCTACCCGATCTGACAAAGCCTTTTCCATTGTATGCGTCAGAGAGAGAAAAGATGTCAGCTGGACTTTGAACCCAAACTGTGGGGCCCTGGCTGAGACTGGTGGCCTACCTCTCTAAACAACTAGATGGGGTTTCTAAAGGATGGCCCCCCTGTTTGAGGGCCTTGGCAGCAACTGCCCTGCTAGTACAAGAAGCAAATAAGCTGACTCTTGGGCAAAACCTGAACATAAAGGCCTCCCGTGCTGTGGTGACTTTAATGAATACTAAAGGACATCATTGGCTAACGGATGCCAGACTCATCAAGTACCAAACTTTGCTCTGTGAGAATCCCCGTATAACCATTGAAGTTTGTAACACCCTACACCCTGCCACCTTGCTCCCGGTATCAGAGAGCACTGTCGAGCCTGATTGTGTAGAAGTGTTGGATTCAGTTGACTCTAGCAGACCTGACCTCTGGGACCAGCCTTGGGCATCAGGAGACTGGGAACTATATGTGTATGGGAGCAGCTTCTTCAACCCCCAAGGAGAGAGAGAGGTGCAGGGTATGCAGTGATAACCCTGGACACTGTTGTTGAAGCCAGATCCTTGCCGCAGGCCTCTGCAGCCCAGAAAGCTGAACTCATTGCTTTCATTCATGCCTTAGAACTCAGTAAGCGTGAGACTGTCAACATTTACACTGATTCTTGGTATGTCTTTTTAACCCTTCAAGTGCATGGAGCGTGATAGAAAAGGGCCTACTGAACTCTGGGGGAAAAGACAGAAAATATCAACAAGAAATCTTGCAATGATTAGAAGCAGTATGGAAACCCCACAAGGTGGCAGTTATGCATTGCAGAGGACACCAGAGAGCTTCCACCTTGCTGGGTTTGGGGAATTCCCCCGCTGACTCAGAGGCTCAAAAAGCAGCATCTGCCCCCTTCCGGGCATCAGTGCTCCCTCAAGCACCTGATCTTGGACCTACTTCTTCTAAAGAAGAAAAGGACTTTCTCCAGGTAGAGGGAAGGACAAGTGATCGAGGAAGGATGGATTCGGTTACCAGATGGGAGACTAGCTGTGCCACAGCTGCTAGGAGCTGCAGTTGTACTGGCTGTGCAAGAAACCACCCATTGAGGTCAGGAGTCACTGGAAAAGTTGTTAGGCTGGTATTTCTACATCTCGCCTCTGTCAGCCCTTGCCAAAACGGTGAGGCAGCGGTGTGTTACCTGCCGACAGCATGATGCGAGGCAAGGTCCAGCCGTTCCGCCCGGCATACAAGCTTATGGAGCAGCCCCCTTTGAAGATCTCCAGGTAGACTTCAGAGAGATGCCAAAGTGTGGAGGTAACAAGTATGTACTAGTTCTTGGGCGTACCTACTCTGGGTGGGTGGAGGCCTATCCAACACGAACTGAGAAAACTCGTGAAGTAACCCCTGTCCTTCTTCGAGATCTGATTCGTAGATTTCGACCGCCCTTATGGATCGGCTCAGACAACGGGCCTGCATTTTTGGCTGCCTTGGTACAGAAGACGGCAAAGGTATTGGGGATCACACGGAAACTGCATGCCGCCTCCCAGCCTCAGAGTTCTGGAAAGGTGGAGCGGATGAATCGGACTATCAAAAATAGTACTGTTGTCTTCCCTGCTGGATATTTAAAACAACACCACAAGGGGCGTCAAACCACCTGCTAAATTTGAGGGAATGTTATCCTCTCCCCACCTCCCCCAGCCCCGGATATTAGAGAAAATAACACAGGGGTGATGTACACCCACTGCTTTATTGGGAGTAGTATCATCCTCTCCCTTCTTGGATATTAGGAACAATATCACACTGTGCTTGTAGGCCTGTCATGAAATTCAATGGAATGTCATCCTGTGCCTCCCTGGATATGATGAACAATATCACGGGGGATGTACAACTTCTGAGATATTGGGAGTGATATCATCTTCTCCCCTCTGGGAGTTAGGGACAATATCACAGGGGTCGTGTACACCCTCTGGGATGTTGGGACTAATATCATCCTCCCGCCCACTGGATATTAAAAACCATATCACAAGGGGCGTGTGCACACACTTTGATATTGGTATGAATACCATCCTCTCCCTCTTTGGATATTCGGTGCCATATTTCAGGTGGGGTATACACCACCTGCAATATTGGAAGTAATATGATTTTCTCCCCCACAGATATCAGAAACAATATCACAGGGGTGTGTCAACAACCCCTGCGATATTTGGAGTAATATCATCGTCTCCCCTCATGAATATTAAGAACAATATCATAGGGGTGGGGGGTGTACAGCCCCTTTCATATTTGATATCATCCTCTTCCACCCTGGATATGAGGAACAATATCAGGAAGGGATGTACAGACCCTGCGATATTTGCTGTCATATAATTGTCTCTCCCGTAGATATTAGGAAAAAAGTCACTGGGGATGTGAACAGCCCTGCGATATTGAGAGTAGTATCATCCTCTCCCCCCTTGTATATTGGGAACAACATCACAGGTGGGGTGTACTGCCTCTGCGATATTGGGAGTAAAATTTTCCTCTCTTCCCCTGGACATTAGGAAGAGTATCAGAGGGGGGAGGGTGTACATTCCCTGCCATATTCAACGTAACCTTATCCTCTCCCTCCCAGGGTATTCAGAACAATATTACAGGAGGGGTGTACACCCTCTGCGATATTGACAGTCATATCATCCTCTTTCGCTCTGGATATTAGGAACAATATCACAGGGTTGTGTACACCCCCTGCGATATTGGGAGTGATATCATCCTCTCTCCCTGGGTATATTAGGAAGAGTATCACAGGGCTGTGTAAACCCCCTGCGGTACTGGGAGTAATACCATTCTCTCTCCCTCTGGATATGAGGAAGATTTTCACAGGGAAGTGTACACCCCCTGCGATATTGGGAGTAATATCATCCTCTCCACCCAGGAAATGACTAACAAGGTCACGGGGGAGTGTACTCCCCCTGCGATATTGGGAGTAATGTCGTCCTCCCCAAAGCTGGAAGTTAGCAACAAGATCACAGAGGGGTGTACACACCCTGTGACATTGGAAGTAATATGATCCTCTCTCCACCTGGATATTGGGAAAGATATTACAGCGCGGGTATACATTTCCTACGCTGTTGGGAGTAATATCATTCTTTTCCTTTCTGGATATTAGGAAGAACATCACAGGGGTGCTGTACAATTACTTCGATATTGGGAGTAATATCATGCTCTATTTTCCTGGATATTGCGCACAAAAACACAAAAGGGTGTACAACCCCTGCGATATTGGGAGTAATAGCATACTTTCCTTCCCTGGATGTTAGAAAACAATATCATCAGGGCTGAACACCCCCCGCGATAATGGGAGTCATATTTACTCTTTCACAGGCCATTTGGAACAATATCACAGGGGGTGTTTACAAACAGGGGTGGTGTACACCCCCTGTGATATTGGGAGTAACATCATTCTCTCCACCTCCGGATATTAAGAACAGTATCCCGGCGGGAGATGGTACACCACCAGTGATATTGGGAATAATGTTATCCTCTCCTTCCCTGGATATTAAGAACAATATCACAGGGGGGTGTACACCTTCTGTGATATTGGAAGCAATATCATCCTCTTACCCGCTGGATATTAGAAAAAATATCACTCATGGTGTACACCCACTGTGATATTAGGAAGAATATTACAGGGTGTACACCCACTCTGACTTTAGGAGAAATAGCTCCCTAAAATATCACAAATAATATCACAAGGTATACAGTAATATCTCCCTAGGATATGACAAATACTATCACAGGGTGTACACCCAGTGTGATAACAGGAGTAATACGTCCCAAGGATACTACCAAGAATATCACAAGGCCGTACACCCACTATGACACAGGGAGTGATATCTCCCTAGGATATTACGAATAACATCACAGAATGTACACCCACGTGTACCCCCACGTGTGCACTCACGGTGATATTAGGAGTAATATCAACCCAGGACATAACCAATAACACCACAGGGAGTAAAGACATGATGTACACCCATGGTGGTGTTATGAGAACTATCTCCCTAGGATAATACCAAGAACATCACAGAGTGTACACACATGGTATACACCCACTGTGGCACTAGGACTAATAACTTTCTAAGATATTACGAATAGCATCAGAGAATATAAACACATGGTGTACACCTAGTGTAACTTTAGGCGTAATTTCTCCCTAGGATATTACGCGTAACATCTCAGTGTGTACACACGTGGCGTACACCCACTGTGACATTAAGGGTAATATCCCCCTAGGATATGACGAGAAACATCACAGGGTGTCCACCCATGGTGTACACGCACTGTGATGTTAGGAAAAATATCTCCCTAGGATATTATGAATAATACCACAGGGTGTAGAGAAACTGTAATATTAGAGGTAATGTCTCTCTAGGATATGATGAATAATATCACAGGGCGTACACCCACTGTGATACGGGGAGCAATATCTCTCTAGGATAGTATGAATAATATCACAGAGTGTACACCCACTGTGATATTAGGAGAAATATCTCTCTGGGATATTATGAATTATATCACAGAGTGTACACACATGGTGTACATCCACTTTGATATTAGGAATAATATCTTCCTAGGATGTTACAAACAACATCGCACAGGGTACACCCACTGGAATATTAGGAATCGTATCTCCCTAGGTGATTACAAATAATATCACAGGGTGTACACCCACTGTGATATTAGGAGTAATATCTTCCTAGGGTACTAAGAATAATTTCACAGTGTGTACACACATGGTGTACACTCACTGTGATATTAGGAGTAATATCTACCGAGTAGATAACAAATAACATCGCAGGGCGTACACCCACTTTGATATTAGCTGTAATATTTTTCTAAGTTGTTACAAATAATATCACAGGGTGTACAAACATGGTGTACACTCACTGTGATATCAGGAGTCGTATCTCCGTAATATATTATGAATAATATCACAGGGTGTACACCCACTGTATTATTAGGAGTAATATCTCTGTAGGATAGTACAATTAATATCACAGGGTGTGCAGCCACTGTGATATTAGGAGCAACATCTTTCTAGGATATTACAGACAATATCACAGGGTGTACGCCCACTCTGATGTCAGGAGCAATATCTCGCTAGGATATCCAAAATAATATCACAGGGTGTGCAATATCTGCCTTCCAGGTTCTAAGGGATTCTCCTGCTTCAGCCTCCCGAGTAGCTAGGGTTACCCGCCACCAGGCCTGGCTATTTTTTTTTTATTTTCACTAGAGACGGGGTTTCACCACGTTGGCCAGGCTGGTCTGGAACTCCTGACCTCAGGTGATCCGTCGGCCTCGGCCGCCCAAAGTGCCGGGATTACAGGTGTGAGCCATGGCGCTCGGCCAAGAGTTATATATTCAATTAATTTGGAAACACATCTCCCATATTTGAGTGTGCATGTACTTTTATGAAGAAATGATGTCAGAAAATGTAAGGAGGATAATAAATATGAAAAGTAACTGGCATGTTTAAAAGTCTTCCGATTAAGAACTCTAAGTTTCGATTTCATTTTTAGATAATGCGGTCCTAGCTCTTGTATCATCCTTTTACATATTCTACATCAAAGGAATTTGTCGCACGGTGTCAGAATAAAACAGAGTGTATTTCACTGCTTCTTAATTTCTTTCAATTAGGCTGAGATCTTTTTCTTAGAGAGAGAAGAGCATCTTCATTGCATTTTATTTTTTCCGAAAAGAGTAGGCCGTATTTTACTGAGATCATGGATTTGTTATATATGACATTTTGGTCTTCTAACATTCTTCAGTAGATTTTCTCCAAAGTAGTATGTACAGAAGGAGTTGAATAGAAAAAAGTAAATCATGTAATAATTCTGAGATTTTTGGGTTTGTCACAGCTGAGAAATATTGCTGACGGTGTATGGTCCTCAAGTGTGAAAATGTTCCTTGTGAATTGCTTGCATCCAAAATATACACACAGCATTAAGGGCTGGTTTTTATCTTTTATTTTTCCAATCCTCTTTTCTTCCCAAGGTGTCCAAGACACACAGAGCCACGGAATCTCACAGGTGTCTGAGAATTCCTCCTTCTGGGACTCTCAGAGGATCCAGAACTGCAGACCATCCTTGCTGGGCTGTCCCTGTCCATGTATCTGGTCACGGTGCTGAGGAACCTGCTCAGCATCCTGGCTGTCAGCTCTGACTCCCACCCCCACACACCCATGTACTTCTTCCTCTC
Organism: Homo sapiens; assembly: GCF_000001405.40. Lineage (NCBI taxonomy): Eukaryota > Metazoa > Chordata > Mammalia > Primates > Hominidae > Homo > Homo sapiens. The sequence goes on from NT_187537.1 coordinate 38,048, forward strand.
CAACCTGTGCTGGGCTGACATCGGTTTCACCTTGGCCACGGTTCCCAAGATGATTGTGGACATGGGGTCGCATAGCAGAGTCATCTCTTATGGGGGCTGCCTGACACAGATGTCTTTCTTGGTACTTTTTGCATGTATAGTAGACATGTTCCTGACTGTGATGGCTTATGACTGCTTTGTAGCCATCTGTCGCCCTCTGCACTACCCAGTCATCGTGAATCCTCACCTCTGTGTCTTCTTCGTTTTGGTGTCCTTTTTCCTTAGCCTGTTGGATTCCCAGCTGCACAGTTGGATTGTGTTACAATTCACCTTCTTCAAGAATGTGGAAATCTCTAATTTTGTCTGTGAGCCATCTCAACTTCTCAAGCTTGCCTCTTATGACAGCGTCATCAATAGCATATTCATATATTTTGATAATACTATGTTTGGTTTTCTTCCCATTTCAGGGATCCTTTTGTCTTACTATAAAATTGTCCCCTCCATTCTAAGGATTTCATCATCAGATGGGAAGTACAAAGCCTTCTCAGCCTGTGGCTGTCACCTGGCAGTTGTTTGCTTATTTTATGGAACAGGCATTGGCGTGTACCTGACTTCAGCTGTGGCACCACCCCTCAGGAATGGTATGGTGGCGTCAGTGATGTACGCTGTGGTCACCCCCATGCTGAACCCTTTCATCTACAGCCTGAGAAACAGGGACATTCAAAGTGCCCTGTGGAGGGTGTGCAGCAGAACAGTCGAATCTCATGATCTGTTCCATCCTTTTTCTTGTGTGGTTGAGAAAGGGCAACCACATTCAATCCCTACATCTGCAAATCCTGCCCCTTAGTCACATTATTTTTGTGGCTTGATGGCTTTTATTCCTTTCCGCATTTCCTTTGTGAATGTTGCTTTCTTCGTTATGCCTTTAACTGGAATGGGTGAGGATTCTGGGATCCTTTGTTTAGCAGAAACCTCATGACAGAATCCTCTCTACCTAGGCGGCCTCCTTTAGTTTCTGAGCAATAACCCTGTCATCCAGGTGAAATCACAACCATCTTTTTATATACAGGAAGTCCTCACTTCATTTTGGAATTCCCTGAAAATTGACTTTATGGAAGCAATGTACAGCAGGTCCTCCAACACCACTGGTGCGTTCAAAGTCATGTAGTTATAATGTTGGTGAGGAATAAGTGGTTTCACTCTACCTAATTTTGCTTAAAGGTGAAGTTTCCAAAAGACTTTCAAAGATGTTAAGTGAGGACATACTGTACATCAAATTCATATCCTCTTCCAGAGTTCCTGTGGAATTTCTTTATAAACTGCTTCTAGAGAATCTATTTAGGCAGGTTATGTGTAAAGATCCATATCACCTTTCCTCAATCTTGGCTTTGAGTCAAATCACCTGGGGAGCTTACAAATGATGAGGCCTGGGTCTCAATACCTGAGATTCTGATTTCCCTGCACCTGTGTGAGTATGTGGGTTTTTTTTTTTTTTTTTTTTTTTTTTTTTTAAAGCACCAGACGTGGTTCCAATGACGAAGTTTTTAGAGGCATCAAGCTCCAATGAGTAAGAACAGAAGTTAATTGTAATATGATTTCTTCAAATATTATGTTCAAATGCATTGTCCATCAACACCATACAAATGTTTATTATGCTGTTGTTTCTTACCATTTAGCATTTTCTATTTTTTCTTTTTCTTTTTTTTTTTTTCTTTTTGAGGCAGAATTTCACTCTTGTTGCCCAGGCTGGAGTGCAATGGCACGATCTCGGCTCACTGCAACCTCTGCCTCCCGTATTCAAGCGATTCTCCTGTCTCAGCCTTCCAAGTAGCTGAGATTACAGGCATGCGCTACCATGCCTGGCTAATTTTTTTTTTTTTTTTTGGTATTTTTAGTACAGACAGTGGTTCTCTATATTGGTCAGGCTGGTCTTGAACTCCCAACCTCAGGTGATCCGCCCGCTTCCGCCTCCCAATGTTCTGGGATTACAGGCGTGAGTGACCGCGCCCAGCCACCACTTAGCATTTTCATTTTACATTTGTTGAAATTACAAATTTATACACACTTTGATTGCTGCTTTGTTATACGCTTGCATATACATAAGATGGGAAATAGAAAAGAATAAAACGGGCACAGTATCCCTGAAGTTTCACATTCCGAGACATGTTAAAAATATTTGCTTTTTAGAAATTTGTTTCAATTGAGAAACTGTGGTATACACACGCAATGAAGTATTATTCAGCCTAAAAAGGAATAAACAAAATCCTCTCCACTGCAGACAAAATGGATGAGATTGCAGGTCTTTATATTAAGTGAAATAAGCCAGGCACAGAATGACAAATATTTCATATCCTCACTTCCATGTAGGAACAAAAAAGAAAATCTTGGCCAGGTGTGGTGGCTCAGGCCTGTAATCCCAGCACTGTGGGAGGCCGAGTCGCACGGATCACTTGAGGCCCGGAGTTCGAGACCCACCTGGACAACATGGTGAAACCCCATCTCTACTAAAAACACAAACAATTAGCCAGGCGTGGTGACGCGTGCCTGTAGTCTCAGCTACTCGGAGGGCTGAGGCCCAAGAAGCGCTTGAACTCGGGAGGCGGAGGTTGCAGTGAGCCCGGATTGTGCCTGTATACTCCAACCTGGGCAACAGAAAGAGACTCCATCACACACCTACACACAAAAGGAATCTCAGGAAGGTGGAAAGTATAAGGGTGGTTAGCAGACGCTAGGAAGAAAAAGGGTGGGATGGGGAATGAAGAGAAGTGGATAATTGGGTCCCAAAATACAGAAAGATGGAATAAGTGAGTTCTAGTGTTTGATAGTACAGTATGAAAATTTTAGTTCACAAGAATTTCTTGCATATTTCCAGATGCTTTGGTAAGAAGCTTCCTACTTTTCTCATTATGCTGGTTTTTCAGCTGTTCACTTTCTGCTCTCGAAATCATGCTGGATTTTTGTTTTTGGTTTTTTGTTTTGAGAGAGAGTTTCACTCTTGTTGCCCAGGCTGGAGTGTAATGGTGCAATCTTGGCTCACCGCAACCTCTGCCTCCTGGGTTCAAGCGATTCTCCTGCCTCCATCTCCCGAGCAGCTGGGATTACAGGCATGCGGCAGCACACCCAGCTAATGTTGTATTTCTAGTAGAGACGAGGGTTTCTTCCTGTCTGTCAGGCTGGTCTTGAACTCCTGACCTCAGTTGATCCGCCCACCTCGGCCTCCCAAAGTGCTTGGATTACAAGCATGAGCAATGGTGCCTGGCACATGCTGCATCCTTATCCGTTGTCTGTTGTTGTTTGTTTGTTTTGGAGCCCAGAAATAACTTCTCACCTATATGTTCAAATGATTTTTCACATGAGTGCTAAGAAAGTCCATTGATGGAAAAGCAGCCTTTTCAAGAAATGGTGTTGGAGAAACTTGATTTCCACAGGCAGAAGAATGAAGGTGGACTCTATGTCACACCAGGTGCAAAAATTAATACAAACTGGATCAAAGACCTAACCCCAAGTGCTGAAAGTATAATATGCCTAAAAGAAAACATTGGCCACACTTTCATGACATCAGATTGGGCAATGCTTTCTGGGATATGACACCAAAAGTATAGGCAACTAAAGAAAATTATATTCCTTGGATTACATCTAAATGACAGACACTTTTGTGCATCAGCAAACACTGTGAACTGAGTGAAAAGGTAACCCATGGATTAGGAAAAATATTTGCAAATCATATCTGTGAAAAGAGGCTGATATGCATCATATACAAAGAAGAGCTAGAACTAAACAACAAGAAACCCAAAACATCCCATCAACAATGGTCAGAAGACTCGAGTAGACATGTTCCTAAAGAAGATACAGCAATGGCCAATAAGCATCTAAAATGATGTTCAAAATCACTCATCCTAGGGAAGCGCAAATCAAACCAAGAATGTGATACCACACATTTGGATGGATATGATAAACAAACAAGCATTGGTGAAACTAGAGGGAAGTAGGAATGCTCGAATCTGATTGGAGGGAATGTAAAACCGTGAAGGAACAGGGAAATAGTATGGCGTGTACCGGAAAAAGTAGAAACAGGATTATCAGATGTTCCCGCAGTGGCACTTGTGGGTACCTGCCAAAAAGAATTAGAAGGCAGGAGTGGAAGAGAGATTTGCACACCCAAATTCATAGCAGCATTATTCACAACAGCCAAAATGTGGAAGCAACCCAAGGGTTCGTGGACAGATGAATGAAAAAGCACACTTGCAATTCATTCATGCGATGGAAGACTATTCAGCCTTAAAAATGCAGGCACTTCTGGCCGGTGCGGTGGCTCACGCCTGTAATCCCAGCATCTTGGAAGACCGAGGTGGGCGGATCACCTGAGGTCAGGAATTCAAGACCAGCCTGCCCATCTTGGTGAAACCCTGTCTCTACTGAAAATGCAAAAAATTAGACAAGCATGATGGCGTGTGCCTATAGACCCAGCTACTCGGGAGGCTGAGGCACAAGAATCGCTGGAACCCGGGAGGCGGAGGTTGCAGTGAGCCCAGATTGTGCCACTGCACTCCAGCCTGTGCGACAGAGTGAGACTCCATGTGAACACAAAACAAAACAAAACCAAAAAAAAAAAAAAAAAAACAAAAACACCCCAGCAACCTGACAGGCACTTCTGACACAGGCTGCAACACGGATGAACCTTGAAGACATTCTTGTCAGTGAAATAAATAAATCCCAAAAGGATAAAGATGACCAGGCTCAGTGGCTCGCACCTGTAACCCCAGCAGTTTGGGAGGCTGAGGCAGGCGGATCACTTAAGGTCAGGAGTTCGAGACCAGCCTGGCTAATATGGTGAAAGCTCGTCTCTATTAAAAATACAACAATTAGCTGGGCGTGGTGGCACACGCCTGTGATCCCAGCTACTCAGGAGACTGAGACACAAGAATCGCTTGAACCCACGATGTGGAGGTGGCAGTCAGCTGAGACCACGCCACTGCACTCCAGCCTGGGCGACAGAGAAAGACTTTGTCTCCAAAACAAACGAACCAAAAAAATTAAACACGGTATGATTCCACTTATATCACGTATCTAGAGTAGTTAAACTTATAGAGTTGCAAAATAGAATGGTGGCCCCCAGGGGTGGGCGAGAGAGAGAGGAATGGAGAGTTTGGTTTATGGGTGCAATTTCCATTTTCAAGGATAAAACTGTTCTGGAGATGATGGCGGTGATGGTTGCTAAACAATGTGAATGTACCTAATGTGATTAAACTGTAAACTGAAAAATAGTGGAAATTATAAATGTTTATACTGGCCATTCTATATGAAATAATATATATTTATAATTTTAAGCATTTATACGTGGTATATTTTCCCACAATAAAAGATGAAAATTAAAGCACTTGGATCTTGTAAAAGAAAAGAAAGAAGCGAATAATACACACAAGCTCTCTCCTGATTAGAGGAAGAGCCCCAGAACTTCTATGGACACTCACTTTTCTCTTCTTCTTCTTGCATGATGATGAGGAAATCCTTAGAGCTTGGGGAACTTGGGCGACTCTGGCTAATGAGGAGTTCTGTGCCTTGAGCCCCCCACACCATAGAATAGTAAAAACTCAGTCTGTGCCTCCAGCTCCGCGGTGTGAGGTTGCAGTCCTGTGGGCTCCACAACTGTCACCTGTATCAGGAGGCTCATGTCTCACCCTGTCTTCTGGCCAGCCTTGAGGATGGAGTCTGAGCCTCCAATGTGCACCACGCAGAGAGGACAGTGGACCTGTTCTCCATGGTCATGGCCCAGCAGAGGGGAAGGGCAGTTCAGTGAGTGCTGAGGGACCGTCGGGAGCCTTGTTCATTTCCTCATCCTCAGGACAAACAGGAGAGTGCCGTGGGCAGATGGGAGGAGACCAACGTGCAAACTGTCAGCTCAGCAGACTGTGGAGTTTCTGTTCTTGGTTGTGGTGGGGGGGGTCTCTCTCAGGAATATTCTTCAAAATTTTGCTTCCCTCCCCCACTGGTTGTCCTTTTCATAGACGTCTCACCCACGATAGCAGGGAATGGGTCCCTCTATACTATTCCCTCAGAACAACAAAAAGATGATGAAGGTGATGATGAGGATAAAGAGGATGATGACAGACACCACCGCATCATGAACACTTACTGAGGGCTTCCTAAAGGCCAGACTCTGAGCTCTGTGTTCTATGCAGCTTGTTTCATTTCATCTGCGTAGTCTCCCAGTTATTAGTGCACATTTCCTGATGATTTTACAGACTAGAAAAGGAGCAACACATTTTCATAGAACTTGTACCAGATCATGAAGTCAAAAAGAGTGAAGCCCAATTTGAACCAGGCAGTCTAAGGCCAGACACATGGCATTTGGCCAGTCCTCTCCCTGCATCCAGCCTGCCCTCTCAAATCCTTGTCACTCGGGCCGATGCCCCTGCTCACTGTGCCCTTCCCTTTGGGGGTTCCTTGTAGACCACAGCTAGACTAGTGGGTGCCACAATCACTGTGTCAAGTAGGGAAAGGGCAGCTGAGATCACATCAAGGATTCCAGAAAGAATTGGCACAGGATCATTCGGGATGCATCTCTCCCTTGCCCCTGTTCCTGGCTTTCCTTACAGCTCTCAACTTCCTCAAAGGAGTCATCAATTCGGGGTTTGGTTTCCATTCCTATTGAGGAAGCTGGAAACCATTTCAAAAATGCTCCTCCCATGTGCCTGTGGTTAAGAGCCCTAAGCTCTGTTGAAAACTTTTGGAAGCTGGGCGCGGTGGCTCACGCCTGTAATCCCAGCACTTTGGGAGGCTGAGGCAGGTGAATCACAAGGTCAGGTGTTCGAGACCAGCCTGGCCAACATGGTGAAACCCCGCCTCTCCTAAAAAGAGAAAAATATTAGCCGGGCGTAGTGGCGAGCGCCTGTCATCTCAGCTACTTGGCAGGCTGAGGTAAGAGAATAGCTTGAACCTGGGATGCGGAGGTTGCAGTGAGCCGAGATCACTCCACTGCACTCCAGCCTGGGCAACAGAACGAGACTCCATCTCAAAAACAAAAACAAAAAAGAACCCACAACATTTTGAGGGTTGGGAGACCATCAAATATAGTGCCTGGGACTTAGAGTCTGGCCATTAATTTTCAATACCACCCTTTCTACTTATCTGTATGGCAAGGGGTGAGACATCCATCCTCTGAGACTCAGCACTCTCATCTGATTGATTTCTAATTGATCCAATGGAAGTGAGCGATGATGAAACCGATCGTGGGTTCCCGCTGCGTGATCTCTATGTGACGGATGCGTAAAGTAAAGGCAAAGTGAATTTTAGATACATTCGTTAATATTTTAAGCTTAAACTCCATACGGTTCAACGGAAATGTCCCCTGACCTGAAGTTCTGGTTTCCCTACATTCCGGACAGGACATTTTATTTTGTCCTTATCTCAGTAAGTACTGAGTATTGTGAGAGGAACAAGTGAGTCTCTTTTGTTTCTGATTCCCCAGAGCCTATATCTTGCTTGGCACAAAGGAGATAGCAAAAGTAAACATCTATGTGAATTATTGAATTGACACTTCCTTGGTTCACAAAAATTGGCTGTCATCAGTGTGACGTCAGTGTGACAGAGCGTGTCTTTTTGGTTTTTTGTTTTTTGAGATGGAGTTTTGCTCTTGTTGCCCAGGCTGGAGTGCAGTGGTGTGATCTCAGCTCACTGTAGCCTCTGCCTCCCAGGTTCAAGCCATTCTCCTGCCTCAGCCACCTGAGTAGCTGGGACTACAGGCGCGCGCCGCCATACTGGGCAAAGTTTTGTATTTTCAGTAGAGGCGGAGTTTCACCATTTTGGCCAGGATGGTCTTGATCTCCTGACCCCGTGATCCGCCCTCCTCGGCCTCCCGAAATGCTGGGATCACAGGCGTGAGCCACCGCGTCCGTCCAAACGTTCTGATGAAAACTCTAAGTCCACCGAAGCTAAGGACAGGAGTTATAGCTTCCATGAATTTTAAAACAAGACCCACCGATTTGAGTAAGCAATTACTCTCTTGAAGGAGAAAAGTCAGAAAACATAATGATGAAATCACTAGGACCTAACTGGCCTGTGGAACTATTTTCTGCTTATGAACTATCAACTTTAATTTCATTTCCAGATGGCATGGTCTCAGCAGTTATACAGTGTTTACAGATGTTCTAAATCAAGGGAATTTGTATCAATCTATTCAAATAAAATAAAATATTTGAGTTCTTAATTTCCTTGAATTAGGATAACCTTTTTCTTAAAGTGAAGAGAATGGTTTTATTACATAGTTTCCTTCGGTAAAGATAGGCTGTCTTTTCTAGCAATTACGAATTTATTATATATGATGATCTGGTTCTTGGAACATTCTTGAATCCAGTGTCTCTGAGGCAGGTGTGTACAGCAAGAAGTGAATAACACAGAAATCAATGATGAAAGCATTAGAAGACAATTGAGTTTGTCAGAACTGCAAAATATTGCTGAGTGTGGATTGCTCTGAAATCTGAAAACATTACTTGTGAATTGCTTCTATCCAAAATGCAGACACGATGCTGGGTGTTGGTTTATTTGTTTCCGATTTCTCAACCCTCTTTTCTAGGCAAAAGGTGCCCAATCTCTACAGACCCACAGAATCTAACAGATGTCTCTATATTCCTCCTCCTAGAACCTCAGAGGATCCAGAACGGCAGCTGGTCCTTGCTGGGCTGTTCCTGTCCATGTGCCTGGTCACGGTGCTGGGGAACCTGATCATCATCCTGGACGTCAGCCCTGACTCCCACCTCCCCACCCCCATGTACTTCTTCCTCTCCAACCTGTCCTTGCCTGACATCGGTTTCACCTCCACCACGGTCCCCAAGATGATTGTGGACATCCAATCTCACGGCAGAGTCATCTTCTATGCAGGCTGCCTGACTCAGATGTCTCTCTTTGCCATTTTTGGAGGCATGGAAGAGAGACACGCTCCTGAGTGTGATGGCCTATGACCGGTTTGTAGCCATCTGTCACCCTCTATGTCATTCAGCCAGCATGAACCCGTGTTTCTGTGGCTTTCTAGTTTTGTTGTCTTTTTTTTTTCTCAGTCTTTTAGACACCCAGCTGCACAACTTGATTGCCTTACAAATGACCTGCTTCAAGGATGTGGAAATTCTTAATTTCTTCTGTGACCCTTCTCAACTCCCCCATCTTGCATGTTGTGACACCTTCACCAATAACATAATCATGTATTTCCCTGCTGCCATATTTGGTTTTCTTCAGATCTCGGGGACCCTTTTCTCTTACTATAAAATTGTTTCCTCCATTCTGAGGGTTTCATCATCAGGTGGGAACTATAAAGCCTTCTCCACCTGTGGGTCTCACCTGTCAGTTGTTTGCTGATTTTATGGAACAGGCGTTGGAGGGTACCTCAGTTCAGATGTGTCATCTTCCCCGAGAAAGGGTGCAGTGGCCTCAGTGATGTACACGGTGGTCACCCCCATGCTGAACCCCTTCATCTACAGCCTGAGAAACGGGGATATTAAAAGTGTTCTGCGGCGGCCGCAAGGCAGCAAGGTCTAATATCAATATCTTCTTATCTGTTCCATTCCTTTTGTAGGGTGGGTTAAAAAAGGCAGCAAGGTCAAATAAGAATGATATCACAGGGTGAAGACCCCACTGTGATATTAGGAGTAATACCTCCCTAGGATATAGAATATACTGTCACAGAGTATACACACATGGGCTACACCCGCTGTGGTGTTAGAAGCAATATCTCCCTAAAGTATGAGGGAAAATATCACAGGGTGTGCACACTGTGTGATATGAGGAGTAATATTTACCCTGGATATTATGACTAATATCAAGGGTGTACACACACAGGGTACACGCACTGTGATATCAGGAGTTGCATCTCCCTAGGATATTATGAATACTATCACAGGATATACACTATGTGTGTACACCCACTGTGATATTTGAAGTCACATCTCTCTATGAGATTATAAATAACATCAAAGCGTGTACACCCCTGTGACATATTAGGAGTAACATCATTCTAGGGTACTACAGTTAACCTCACAACGTGTACACCTTCTGTGACGTTTTGTACACTCTTTGTGACATTAAAAGAAACATCCCCCTAGGATATTATGAATAATAACACAGGAGGTGTACACACATGGTGTACACGGCCTGTGTCATCAGGAGTAACATTCCCCTAGGATATTACAAATAATATCACAGCAGGTGTACACACATGTTGTACACCCCATGTGACATTCGGAAGAGCATGCCCCTAGGATATTAGGAATAGTATCACAGGCTTTTAATACACATTTTTAATGCGTAATGTCACCCCCGGTGACATTAAAAATAATATCCCCCTTGGATATTACGAATAATATGACAGGGAGTGCACCCCGTGTGACATTAGGAGTAACATACCCCGAGGATAGAACGAATTATATCAGAGGGTGTACATGCATTGTGACCTTAGTAGTAACATCTCTTTAGGATATTACAAATCATATCACAGGGTGTACAGGCATTGTGACATTAGTAGTAACATCCCGCTGGGATATGATGAGTCATATCACAGGGTGTACACCCCCATGACAATAGTAGCAACATTCCCCTAGAATATTACGAATAATATCACAGGAGGTACAGCCCCTGTGATTTACTAGTAACATGTCTATAGAATATTACAACTCATATCATTGTGTGACTCTGTGTACACCCCGTGTGACTTTAGGAGTAACATCCCACAAAACTATGACGAAAAATATCACAGGGTGAACACCCCCTGTGACCTGAGGAATAACATAGTTTTAGGATATTATGAATGATGTGACAAGGTGTACACACCCTGTGACCTTAGGAGCAATATCCTTCTAGGATGTTAGGAAGACTATCACACGGAACACAGCCCCTGTGACATTAGGATATGACAAATAATATCACAAGGTGTACACGCATTGTGACATTACTGCAAATATCCCTCTGGTACACTATGAATAATATCACAGGGTGTACATCCCTGTGACATTAGGAGTAACATCCCCCTAGAATAGTAAGAATAATAACAAGGGGTGTACACCCCCTGTGACATCAGGAGTATCATCTCACTAGAATATTACGAATAATGTCACAGGGTGTTATCGCCTGTGCCAATAGGGGTATAGACCCCTGGGAAATTATGAATAGTATCACAGGGTGTACAGCCCTGTGACAGTAGGAATAACATCTTTCTAGAATATCACGAATAATATCACAATGTGTACACCCCCTGTGTCATTAAAAGTAAAATTGCCCTAGGATATTACAAAATCGAACACAGGGAGTATACCCCGTGTGACATTAGAAGTAACACCCCCCGAGGATATAACCAATAAGATCAGAGAATGTACCTGCATTGGGACATCAGTAGTAACATCTCTTCAGGACAATACGAATAATATCAAAGGGTGTACACGCATTGTGAAATTAGTAGTGAACTCCCACTAGGATATTAGGAATTTTATGACAGGGTCTACACACCCTGTGATATTAGCAGTAACGTTTTCCTAGAAGAATACGAAGAATATTAAAGGGTGTACAGGAACTGTGAATTACGAGTAACATTTCCATAGCATATTGCACATAACATCACTGTGTGTACACGCCGTCTGACATTAGGGGTAACATCCCACAAAATTATAGCGAATAATTTCACAAGGTGTGCACCCTCTGTGACACTAAAAATAACATTTCCCTAGAATATGACGACAATCTCACAGGGTGTACACCCTCTGTGAAATGAGGAGTGACATCTTATGGGGATAATACGAGTAATTTGAAAAGGTGTACAAACCCTGTGACAGAAGGAGTGACACCCCTCTAGGACATTATGAATAATATCAAAAGGAACATACCTCGTGTGACAATAAAAGCAACCTCCCCTTAGGAGAATAAGAATAACACCACAAGGTGTACACACAATGTGACATTATTATTAAAGTAAAACTAGGATATTGGGAATAACATCACAGTGTACAGAGTCCTGTGACATCAGGTTGAACATTCCCCTACAAAATTACGAATAATATTGAAGGGTGTATACCCCCTGCGACTTTAGCAGCCGCATATTGCTAGAATATGGAAGATAACGTCCCAGGGTGTGAACAGAGGGGGGCAGTATAGAAAGGATCCTAGGACAAATCGGAGAGTAATACCACCCCCCGATCCACAGCTGGATGTGACGATCCCCATCGCAGGGCGGCGGCCGCGTCCAGAGACATGGGAAGTAATATCACCCCACTCTCTCCCCTGGGATATGACGATCAACATGGAAGGGGGGCGGGCGCCCCCGAGATGCGGGCAGGCTTATCACCACCCCCTCGCCCCTGGATATGACGATGGACATCGCAGGGGGGCGAGGCGCCCCCCGCGATGTGGGGAGTCAGAGCCAGCCCCTCTTGCCCCCCTGGCTCTTAGGACCCCCATCGCAGGGGGGCGAGGCGCCCCCCGCTATGCAGGGAGTCAGAGCCAGCCCCTCTTGCCCCCCTGGCTCTTAGGATCCGCGGTAGACTCACAGCCTGTTTATCATATTGTGAGTAATATCATCTCCCCCTCTGGAGATTATGAACCGTTTCACAGACCGGTGTACACCCTTTGTGTACAGAGGTTGTACACCCGTCTGTATCGGGAGTCATATCATCCTCTTCCTCCCTGAATATTAGGAACAGTATCTCAGGGGGGTTTCTACTCTCTGGGATATCGGGTGTCATGTCCTCCTCTCCCACGTTGCAATTAGAAACAATATCATTGGGGGCGTGTCCACCTTCTGTGATTTTGAAAGTAATATTATCCTCTTCCTTCCAGGATCATGGGAAGGATATCCTTGGGGGTGTCCACTCTCTGCCATACATGTAGTCATAGCACCTCCTCCGCCTTGGAATATTTTTAAGGACCATCTTACACGGGGGTGGACACTTCCTGTGATGTTGGGAGTAATGGCATTCTCTTCTTCCGTGAATATTAGGAGCAAATTCACCGGGTGGATGCACATCCAGTGCTATATTGGGAGGAAGGTCATACTCCACCCCCTGGAGATTATTCGGTGATATTCGGATCAATATCACCGGCTGTGTGTACACCTACTGCGATATTGAACGTAATATCATGCTCTCTCCCTCCCTGGACATTGGGAGCACTATCACAGGTGGGTGTACACCCCCTGAGGTGTTAGGGCGTAATATTAGTATGAATTATTCCTCATTTATTATTAACAGGAATATGAATGACCGATATTAATATTAATATTAAGAAATAATTGCTAATAAAAGTGTCCCATTATTAATATTAATATTAATTATTAGGAGCTAATCTTTACTGTTTTCTAATGAATAAGATCAGTATCAGTTATTAATATCAGATGTCATTAATCATTAATATTAATCATTTATTTTTTCCGTTAGTATAACTATTTAATAGTAATTATTATTATCGTTATTGATTTTAAAAATTATATTATGGGTTATTAATATTGATAATTATTAGTGTCTATTAATAATTGAGATTATTAATTGCGGTAAGTCGCCTTGCGCCATTCCACCCCTCCCTCGGCAGCTCGTTTACGACCCAAAACGGGGACACAAATGCCCCTGAGAGAGCAGCGGTATACTGGGATAGACGAGGATGGTCACGTGGTAGAGAGGCATGTTTTTGGGTACCAGCACTTCACCTGCGTCGACCTTCTCAACTGGAAAAACAATACACCGCCCTATACCGAAAAGCCACAAGCCCTAATTGATTTGCTCCAAGCTGTTATCCAGACCCACAACCCCACCTGGGCTGATTGGCACCAGTTGCTCATGTTCCTCTTTAACAGCGAAGAAAGGCGGAGAGTCCTGCAAGCAGGAACTAAGTGGCTAGAGGAACATGCACCAGCTGATTATCAAAACCCCCAAGAGTATGGAAGGACCCAGTTGCCAGGAACCGACCCCCAGTTGGACCCACATGAAAGAGAGGAGTTGCAAAGGCTAAACCGAGACAGGGAAGCTCTCTTGGAAGGATTCAAGAGGGGAGCTCAGAAGGCCACAAACATTAACAAGCTCTCTGAGGTCATTCAGGGAAAAGAAGAAAGTCCAGCACAATTCGACGAGAGACTGTGTGAGGCCTATCGTATGTATACTCCCTTTGATCCCGATAGCCCTGAAAATCAGCGCATGATTCACATGGCTTTAGTCCGTCAAAGCGCAGAAGACATGAGAAGAAAACTGCAGAAACAGGCTGGGCTTGCAGGGATGAATCCATCACAATTACTAGAAATAGCTAGCCAGATGTTTGTAAACAGGGATGCAGTAAGCCCTAAGGAAAACGGCAAAGAGAATGGAGGTCAGGCCCGGTGACACGCTGACCTGTTTGTCAGCTGCAGCAATCAGAGGGGCCCCCCCAAAGAGGCAAGGGAAGGGGGGCCCTGGGAAAGAAACTCAGCTTGGCTGTCAGAGTTTGCAGTGTAACCAGTGTGCTCATTGTAAAGAAATAGGACAGTGGAAGAACAAATGCCCTCAGCTCAAAAGAAAACAAGGTGACTCAGAGCAGGAGGCCCCGGACAAGGAGGAAGGGGCCCTGCTCAACCTGGCAGAAGGGTTCTTGGACTGAGGGAGACCGGGCTCAAGCGTACCCAAACAGCCTCTGCTCAGAATGACAGTTGGGGGTGGAGACATTGACTTTCTTGTAGATAGCGGTGCTGAACATTTGCTAGGAACCGCCCCGGTCGCCCCCTTATCCAAAAAGACTATTGATGTCATCGGAGCCACATGGGTTTCAGCAAAGCAAGCTTTCTGCTTGCCTCGGACTTGTACTGTAGGAGGACATAAAGTCATTCATCAGTTTTGGTACATGCCTGACTGTCCCTTGACCTTTTTGGGAAGGGACTTGCTCAGCAAGCTGAGAGCCACTATGTGTTTGACAGACCACGGCTCTTTGCTGCTAAAGTTACCTGGAACAGGAGTCATTATGACACTTATGGTCCCCGGAGACGAGGAATGGAGAGTTTTCTTAACTGAGCCAGGCCAAGAGAGAAGACCAGCTCTGGCTAAGCGGTGGCCAAGAGTACGGGCAGAAGAGAACCCTCCGGGATTGGCCAGTTAAGACTGGGGCCCAGCCGGTGAGGCAAAAACAGGACCCGGTCCCCAGAGAAGCCCTTCAAGGTATCCAGGTCCGTCTCAAGCACCTAAGAACTTTTGGAATTATTGTTCCTTGTCAGTCTCCATGGAACACTCTCCTCCTGCCTGTTCCCAAGCCACGGACCAAGGACTACCGGCCGGTACAGGATTTGCCCTTGCTTCATCAAGCTACACTGACTTTACATCCAACAGTACCTAACCCGTCCACATTGTTGGGGTTGCTGCCGGCTGAGGACAGCTGGTTCACCTGCTTGGACCTGAAAGACGCTTTCTTTCCTATCAGATTAGCCCCTGAGAGGCAGAAGCTGTTTGCCTTTCAGTGGGAAGATCCGGAGTCAGGTGTCACTACTCAGTACACTTGGACCGGGCTTCCCCAAGGGTTCAAGAACTCCCCCACCATCTTCGGGGAGGCGTTGGCTCGAGACCCCCAGAAGTTTCCCAGCAGAGACCTAGGCTGCGTGTTGCTCCAGTAGGTTGATGACCTTCTGCTGGGACACCCCACGGCAGTCGGGTGTGCCAAGGGAACAGATGCCCTACACCGGCACCTGGAGGACTGTGGGTAGAAGGTGTCCAAGAAGAAAGCTCAGATCTGCCGACGGCAGGTAAGTTACTTGGGTTTGACTATCCGACAGGGGTCGGAACGCAGTCCAGGATCAGAAAGAAAGCAGGTCATTTGCAATCTAGCGGAGCCTAAGAGCAGGAGGCAGGTGAGAGAATTCTTAGGAGCTGTGGGGTTTTGTAGACTGTGGATCCCAAACTTTGCAGTATTAGCCAAGCCTTTGTATGAGGTCACAAAAGGGGCGGGGACCGGGAACCTTTGGAATGTGGATCCCAACAACAGCAAGTCTTTCATGAGTTAAAGGAAAAACTTCTGGCAGCCCCAGCCCTGGGGTTACCAGAACTGAGAAAGCCTTTTCCATTGTGTGCATCAGAGAGAGAAAAGATGGCAGCTGGACTTTGAACCCAAACTGTGGGGCCCTGGCTGAGACTGGTGGCCTACCTCTCTAAACAACTAGATGGGGTTTCTAAAGGATGGCCCCCCTGTTTGAGGGCCTTGGCAGCAACTGCCCTGCTAGTACAAGAAGCAAATAAGCTGACTCTTGGGCAAAACCTGAACATAAAGGCCTCCCGTGCTGTGGTGACTTTAATGAATACTAAAGGACATCATTGGCTAACGGATGCCAGACTCATCAAGTACCAAACTTTGCTCTGTGAGAATCCCCGTATAACCATTGAAGTTTGTAACACCCTACACCCCGCCTCCTTGCTCCCGGTATCAGAGAGCACTGTCGAGCCTGATTGTGTAGAAGTGTTGGATTCAGTTGACTCTAGCAGACCTGACCTCCGGGACCAAGCTTGGGCATCAGGAGACTGGAAACTATACGTGTATGGGAGCAGCTTCTTCAACCCCCAAGGAGAGAGAGAGGTGCAGGGTATGCAGTGATAACCCTGGACACTGTTTTTGAAGCCAGATCCTTGCCCCAGGCCACTTCAGCCCAGAAAGCTGAACTCATTGCTTTCATTCGTGCCTTAGAACTCAGTGAGGGTGAGACTGTCAACATTTACACTGATTCTTGGTATGTCTTTTCAACCCTTCAAGTGCATGGAGCATGATAGAAAGAAAAGGGCCTACTGAACTCTGGGGTAAAAGACAGAAAATATCAACAAGAAATCTTGCAATGATTAGAAGCAGTATGGAAACCCCACAAGGTGGCAGTTATGCATTGCAGAGGACACCAGCGAGCTTCCACCTTGCTGGGTTTGGGGAATTCTCGCGCTGACTCAGAGGCTCAAAAAGCAGCATCTGCCCCCTTCCGGGCATCAGTGCTCCCTCAAGCACCTGATCTTGGACCTACTTCTTCTAAAGAAGAAAAGGACTTTCTCCAGGTAGAGGGAAGGACAAGTGATGGAGGAAGGATGGATTCGGTTACCAGATGGGAGACTAGCTGTGCCACAGCTGCTAGGAGCTGCAGTTGTACTGGCTGTGTAAGAAACCACCCATCGAGGTCAGGAGTCACTGGAAAAGTTGTTAGGCTGGTATTTCTTCATCTCGCCTCTGTCAGCCCTTGCCAAAACGGTGAGGCAGCGGTGTGTTACCTGCCGACAGCATGATGCGAGGCAAGGTCCAGCCGTTCCACACGGCATACGAGCTTATGGAGCAGCCCCCTTTGAAGGTCTCCAGGTGGACTTCAGAGAGATGCCAAAGTGTGGAGGTAACAAGTATGTACTAGTTCTTGGGCGTACCTACTCTGGGTGGGTGGAGGCCTATCCAACACGAACTGAGAAAGCTCGTGAAGTAACCCCTGTGCTTCTTCGGGATCTGATTCCTAGATTTCGACCGCCCTTATGGATCGGCTCAGACAACGGGCCTGCATTTTTGGCTGCCTTGGTACAGAAGACGGCAAAGGTATTGGGGATCACACGGAAACTGCATGCCACCTCCCGGCCTCAGAGTTCCGGAAAGGTGGAGTGGATGAATCGGACTATCAAAAATAGTACTATTGTCTTCCCTGCTGGATATTTAAAACAACACCACAAGGGGCGTCAAACCACCTGCTAAATTTGAGGGAATGTTATCCTCTCCCCACCTCCCCCAGCCCCGGATATTAGAGACAATAACACAGGGGTGATGTACACCCACTGCTTTATTGGGAGTAATATCATCCTCTGCCTTCTTGGATATTAGGAACAATATCACACTGTGCGTGTACGCCTGTCGCGAAATTCAATGAAATGTCATCCTGCGCCTCCCTGGATATGACGAACAATATCACGGGGGATGTACAACTTCTGAGATATTGGGAGTGATATCATCCTCTCCCCTCTGAAAGTTAGGGACAATATCACAGGGGTAGTGTACACCCTCTGGGATGTTGGGACTAATATCATCCTCCCGCCCACTGGATATTAAAAACCATATCACAAGGGGCGTGTACACACACTTCGATATTGGTATGAATACCATCCTCTCCCTCTTTGGATATTCGGTGCCATATTTCTGGTGGGGTATACACCACCTGCAATATTGGAGGTAATATGATTTTCTCCCCCCCTGGATATCACAAACAATATCACAGGGGGTTGTGAACAACCCCTGCGATACTTGGAGCAATATCATCGTCTCCCCTCACAATTACTAAGAACAATATGGTAGGGATGGGGGATGCACACCCCTTTTCATATTTGATATCATCCTCTTCCCCCCTGGATATTAGGAGCAATATCAGGAAGGAATGTACAGACCCTGCGACCTTTGCTGTCATATAATTGTCTCTCCCCTAGATATTAGGAAAAAATGTCACTGGGGATGTGAACAGCCCTGCGATATTGAGAGTAGTATCATCCTCTCCCCCCTTGTATATTGGGAACAACATCACAGGTAGGGTGTACTGCCTCTGTGATATTGGGAGTGAAATTTTCCTCTCTTCCCCTGGACATTAGGAAGGGTATCAGAGGGGGAGGGTGTACATTCCCTGCGATATTCAACGTAACCTTATCCTCTGCCTCACAGGGTATTCAGAACAATATTACAGGAGGGGTGTACACCCTCTGCGATATTGAGAGTCATGTCATCCTCTTTCGCTCTGGATATTAGGAACAATATCACAGGGTTGAGTACACTCCCTGCGATATTGGGAGTCATATCATGCTCTCTCCCTGTGGATATTAGGAAGAGTATCACAGGGCTGTGTAAACCCCCTGCAGTACTGGGAGTAATACCATCCTCTCTCCCTCTGGAAATAGGAAGATTTTCACAGGGGCGTGTACACCCCCTGCAATATTGGGAGTGAGATCATCCTGTCCACCCAGGAAATGACTAACAAGGTCACGGGGAAGTGTACTCCCCCTGCGATATTGGGAGTAATGTCGTCCTCCCCAAACCTGGATGTTAGCAACGAGATCACAGAGGGGGTGTACACACCCTGCGACATTGGAAGTAATATGATCCTCTCCCCACCTGGATACTGGGAAAGATACCACAGCGCGGGCAAACCTTTCCTACGCTGTTGGGAGTAATATCATTCTTTTCCTTTCTGGATATTAGGAAGAATATCACGGGGTGCTGTACAATTACTTTGATATCGGCAGTAATATCATGCTCTATTTTCCTGGATATTGCGCACAAAAACACAAAAGGGTGTACAACCCGAGCGATATTGGGAGTAGTAGCATACTCTCCTTCCCTGGATGTCAGAAAACAATATCATCAGGGCTGAACACCCCCCACGATAATGGGAGTCATGTTTACTCTTTCACAGGCCATTTGGATTAATATCACAGGGGGTGTTTACAAACAGGGGTGGTGTACACCCCCTGTGATATTGGGAGTAACATCATTCTCTCCACCTCCGGATATTAAGAACAATATCCCGGCGGGAGGTGGTACACCCCCAGTGATATTGCGAATAATGTCATCCTCTCCTTCCCTGGATATTAGGAACAATATCACAGGGGGGTGTACACCTTCTGTGATATTGGAAGCAATATCATCCTCTCCCCCGCTGGATATTAGAAAAAAATATCACTCACGGTGTACACCCACTGTAATATGAGGAGTAATATCTTCCTAGGGTACTACGAATAATTTCACAGTCTGTACACACATGGTGTACACTCACTGTGATATTAGGAGTAATATCTACCTAGTAGATAACAAATAACATCGCAGGGTGTACACCCACTTTGACATTAGCTGTAATATTTTTCTAAGTTGTTACAAATAAGATCACAGGGTGTACAAACATGGTTTACATTCACTGTGATATCAGGAGTCGTATCTCTGTAATATATTATGAATAATATCACAGGGTGTACACCCACTGTATTATTAGAAGTAATATCTCTGTAGGATATTACAATTAAGATCACAGGGTGTAGAGCCACGGTGATATTAGGAGCAATATTTTTCTAGGATATTACAAATAATATCACAGAGTGTACGCCCACTCTGCTGTCAGGAGGAATATCTCCCTAGGATATCAAAAATCCTATCACAGGGTGTGCAATCTCTGCCTTCCAGGTTCTAAGGGATTCTCCTGCTTCAGCCTCCCGAGTAGCTAGGGTTACCCGCCACTACGCCCGGCTGATTTTTTTTTTTTAATTTTCACTGGAAACGGGGTTTCACCACGTTGGCCAGGCTGGTCTGGAACTCCTGACCTCAGGTGATCCATCAGCCTCGGCCACCCAAAGTGCTGGGATTACAGGTGTGAGCCATGGTGCTTGGCCAAGAGTTCTATATTCAATTCATTTGGAAACACAGCTCCCATCTTTGAGTGTGCATGTACTTTTATGAAGAAATGATGTCAGAAAACCGAAGGATGATAATAAATATGAAAAGTAACAGGCATGTGAAAAGTTCTTCCGATTGAGAACTATAAGGTTCGATGTCGTTTTCAGATAATGGGGTCCTAGCTCTTGTGTCGTCCTTTTACATATTCTACACCAAAGGAAATTGTGGCACGGTGTCAGAATAAAGTAGAGTGTATTTCACGGCTTCTCAATTTCTTTCAATTAGACTGAGATCTTTTTCTTAAAGAGAGAAGGACATTGTCATTGCATTGTATTTTTTCTGAAAAGAGTAGGCCGTATTTTACTGAGATCACGGATTTGTTATATATGACGTTTCGGTCTTCTAACATTTTTCAGTGGATTTTCTCTAAAGTAGTATGTACAGAAAGCCTTGTACAGCAAAAAAGTAAATCACGTAATAATTCTGAGATTTTTGGAATTGTCACAGCTGAGAAACATTGCTGGCGGTGTATGGTCCGCAAGTGTGAAGATGTTCCTTGTGAATTGCTTGCATCCAGCATTAAGGGCTGGTTTTTATCTTTTATTTTTCCAATCCTCTTTCCTTCTCAAGGTGTCCAAGACACACAGAGCCACGGAATCTCACAGGTGTCTGAGAATTCCTCCTCCTGGGACTCTCAGAGGATCCAGAACTGCAGCCAGTCCTCGCTTTGCTGTCCCTGTCCCTGTCCATGTATCTGGTCACGGTGCTGAGGAACTTGCTGAGCATCCTGGCTGTCCGCTCTGAGTCCCCGCTCCACACAACCATGTACTTCTTCCTCTCCATCCTGTGCTGGGCTGACATCGGTTTCACCTCAGCCACAGTTCCCAAGATGATTGTGGACATGCAGTGGTATAGCAGAGTCATCTCTCATGCGGGCTGCCTGACACAGATGTCTTTCTTGGTCCTTTTTGCATGTATAGAAGGCATGCTCCTGACTGTGATGGCCTATGACTGCTTTGTAGGCATCTGTCGCCCTCTGCACTACCCAGTCATCGTGAATCCTCATCTCTGTGTCTTCTTTGTTTTGGTGTCCTTTTTCCTTAGCCTGTTGGATTCCCAGCTGCACAGTTGGATTGTGTTACAATTCACCATCATCAAGAATGTGGAAATCTCTAATTTTGTCTGTGACCCCTCTCAACTTCTCAAACTTGCCTGTTCTGACAGCGTCATCAATAGCATCTTCATATATTTTGGTAGTACTATGTTTGGTTTTCTTCCCATTTCAGGGATCCTTTTGTCTTACTATAAAATCGTCCCCTCCATTCTAAGGATTTCATCGTCAGATGGGAAGTATAAAGCCTTCTCCACCTATGGCTCTCACCTAGCAGTTTTTTGCTGATTTGATGGAACAGGCATTGGCGTGTACCTGACTTCAGCTGTGGCACCACCCCTCAGGAATGGTGTGGTGGTGTCAGTGATGTAAGCTGTGGTCACCCCCATGCTGAACCTTTTCATCTACAGCCTGAGAAACAGGGACATACAAAGTGCCCTGCGGAGGCTGCGCAGCAGAACAGTCGAATCTCATGATCTGTTCCATCCTTTTTCTGGTGTGGGTGAGAAAGGGCAACCACATTCAATCCCTACATCTGCAAATCCTGCCCCTTAGTCACATTATTTTTGTGGCTTGATGGCTTTTATTCCTTTCTGCATTTCCTTTGTGAATATTGCTTTCTTCGTTATGCCTTTAACTGGAATGGGTGAGGATTCTGGGATCCTTTGTTTAGCAGAAACCTCATGACAGAATCCTCTCTACCTAGGCGGCCTCTTTTAGTTTCTGAGCAATAACCCTGTCATCCAGGTGGAATCACTACCATCTTTTTATATACACGAAGTCCTCACTTCGTTTTGGAATTCCCTGAAAACTGACTTTATGGAAACAATGTACAGGAGGTCCTCCAACACCGTTGGTTGTTCAAAGTTGTGTAGTTATACTGTTGATGAAAAATAAGCGGTTTCACTATACATAATTTTGCTTCAAGTTGAAGTTTCCAAGAGACTTTCAAAGATGTTAAGTGAGGACATACTGTACATCAAATTCATATCCTCTTCCAGAGTTCCTGTGGAATTTCTTTATAAACTGCTTCTAGAGAATCTATTTAGGCAGGGTATGTGTAGAGATCCATGTCGCTGTTCCTCAATCTTGGCTTTGAGTCAAATCACCTGGGGAGCTTACACATGATGAGGCCTGGGTCTCAATACCCTAGATTCTGATTTCCTTGCACCTGTGTGAGTACGTGGATTTCTTTTTTTCTTTTAAAGCACCAGAGGTGGTTCCAACCACGAAGTTTTTAGAGGCATGAAGCTCCAATGAGTAAGAAGAGAAATTAATTGTAATATGCTTTCTTCAAATATTATCTTCAAAAGCATTGTCCATCAACACCATACAAATGTTTATTATGCTGTTTTTTCTTACCATTTCGCATTTTCTATTTCTTTCTTTTCCTTTTTTTTGAGTCAGAGTTTCGCTCTTGTTGCCCAGGCTGGAGTTCAATGGCACGGTCTCGGCTCACTGCAACCTCTGCCTCCCATATTCGAGCAATTCTTCTGTCTCAGCCTTCCAAGTAGCTGGGATTACAGGCATGCGCTACCATGCCTGGCTAATTTTATTTTTATTTATTTATTTATTTATTTTGTATTGTTAATAGAGACAGTGTTTCTCCATTTTGGTCAGGCTGGTCTTGAACTCCCGACCTCAGGTGATCCGCCCGCTTCCGCCTCCCAAAATGCTAGGATTACAGGCATGAGCGACCGCGCCCAGCCACCACTTAGCATTTACATTTTACATTTGTTGAAGTTATAGATTTATACACACATTGATTCCTGCTTTGTTATACACTTGCATATACATAAGATGGGAAATAGAAAAGAATAAAATGGGCACAGTATCCCTGAAGTTTCACATTCCGAGACATTTCAAAAATATTTGCCCTTCAAAAATTTGTTTCAATGAAGAAATTGTGGTATACACACCCAGTGAAGTATGATTCAGCCTAAAAAGGAAGAAACTCCTCTCCGCTGCAGACAAAATGGATGAGATTGCAGGTCTGTATATTAAATGAAAGAAGCCCGGCACAGAATGACAAATATTTCCTGTCCTCACTTCTATGTAGAAAGAAAAAAGGAAACCTTGGCCAGGTTTGGTGGCTCAGGCCTGTAATCCCAGCACTGTGGGAGGCCGAGTCGCACGGATCACTTGAGTCCAGGAGTTCGAGACCCGCCTGGCCAACATGGTGAAACCTCGTCTCTACGGAAAACACAAACAATTAGCCAGGCGTGGTGACGCGTGCCTGTAGTCTCAGCTACTCAGAGGGCTGAGGCCCAAGAAGCGCTTGAACTCGGGAGGCGGAGCTTGCAGTGAGCCCGGATTGTGCCTGTATACTCCAACCTGGGCAACAGAAAGAGACTCCATCACACACCTACACACAAAAGGAATCTCAAGAAGGTGGAAAGTATAAAGGTGGTTAGCACACGCTAGGAAGAAAAGGGGTGGGATAGGGAATGAAGACCAGTGGATAATTGGGTCCCGAAATACAGAAAGATGGAATAAGTGAGTTCTAGCGTTTGATAGTACAGTATGAAAATTTTAGTTCACAAGAATTTCTTGCATATTTCCAGATGTTTTGGTAAGAAGCTTCCTAACTTTCTCATTATGCTGGTTTTTAATCTCTTCTCTTTCTGCTCTTGAAGTCATGCTGGTTTTTTGTTTTTTGTTTTGAGATGGAGTTTCGCTCTTGTTGCCCAGGCTGGAGTGTCATGGTGCAATCTTGGCTCACTGCAACCTCTGCCTCCTGGGTTCAAGCAATTCTCCTGCCTCCACCTCCCGAGTAGCTGCGATTACAGGCATGCGCCAGCCCACCCAGCTAATGTTGTGTTTCTAGAAGAGAAGGGGGTTTCTCCCTGTCGGTCAGGCTGGTCTTCAACTCCTGACCTCAGGTGATCCGCCCGCCTCGGCCTCCCAAAGTGTTGGGATTACAGGCGTGAGCAACCGCGCCCGGCCCATGCTGTATCCTTATCTGTTGTCTGTTGTTGTTTGTTTGTTTTGGAGCCCAGAAATAACTTCTCACCTATATGTTCAAATGATTTTTCACATGAGTGCTAAGAAAGTCCATTGGTGGAAAAGCAGCCTTTTCAAGAAATGGTGTTGGAGAAACTTGATTTCCACATGCAGAAGAATGAAGGTGGACCCTATGTCACACCAGGTGGAAAAATTCACACAAACTGGATCAAAGACCTCACCCCAAGCGCTAAAAGTGTCATACGCCTTAAAGAAAACATTGGCCACGCTTTCATGACATCAGATTGGGCAATGTTCTCTGGGATATGACACCAAAAGCATAGGCAACAAAAGAAAATTATATTCCTTGGATTACATCTATATGACAGACACTTTTGTGCAGCAAAAAACACTGCGAACTGAGTGAAAAGATAACCCATGGATTAGGAAAAATACTTGCAAAGCACATATCTGAAAAGAGGCTGATATCCATCACATATAAAGAATGGCTAGAACTAAACAACAGGAAACCTAAAGCATCCCATCAACAATGGTCAGAAGACTCGAGTAGACGTGTTCCTAAAGAAGATATTGCAATGGCCAATAAGCATCTAAAATGATGTTCAACATCACTCATCCTAGGGAAGCACAAATCAAACCAAGAATGTGATACCACATATTAGGATGGATATGATAAACAAACAGGCATTGGTGAGACTAGAGGGAAGTAGGAATGCTCGATATGATCAGAGGGAATGTAAAACCGTGAAGGAACGGGGAAAATAGTATGGCGTCTACTGGAAAAATTAGTAACAGAATGATCAGATGTTCCCGCAGTTGCATTTGTGGGTACCTACCAAAAAGAATTAGAAGCCAGGAGTGGAAGACAGATTTGTGTACACCCATATTCATAGCAGCATTATTCACAACAGCCAAAATGTGGAAGCAACCCAAGGGTTCGTGGATAGATGAATGAAAAAGCACACTGCAGTTCCTTCATACAATAGAAGACTATTCAGCCTTGAAAAGGCAGACACTTCTGGCCGGTGCAGTGGCTCACGCCTGTAATAGCAGCGTCTTGGAAGACCGAGGTGGACGGATCACCTGAGGTCAGGAATTCAAGACCAGCCTGGCCATCTTGGTGAAACCCTGTCTCTACTCAAAATGCAAAAAAATGAGACGAGCGTGGTGGCGTGTGCCTATAGTCCCAACTACTCGGGAGGCTGAGGCACGAGAATGGCTGGAACCCGGGAGGCGGAGGTTGCAGTGAGCCCAGATTGTGCCACTACACTCCAGCCTGTGCGACAGAGTGAGACTCCATGGAAACACAAAACAAAACAAAGTCAAACGAACAAACAGACAAAAAACAGAGAGGCATTTCTGACGCAGGCCGCAACATGGATGAACCTTGAAAACATTATCGTCAGTGAAATAAATAAATCCCAAAAGGATAAACACGCCCAGGCTCAGTGGCTCGCACCTGTAACCCCAGCATTTTGGGAGGCTGAGCCAGGCGGATCACTTCAGGTCAGGAGTTCGAGACCAGCCTGGCCAATATGGTCTCTATTAAAAATACAAAAATTAGCTGGGTGTGGTGGCAGGCGCTTGTAATCCCAGCTACTCGGGAGACTGAGACACAAGAATCGCTTGAACCCACGATGTGGAGGTTGCAGTGAGGGGACATCACGCCACTGCACTCCGGCCGGGGTGACAGAGAATGACTCCGTTTCCAAAACAAAAAAATTAAACACGGTTTGGTTCCACTTATCTATCAAGTGTCTAGAGTAGTTAAACTCATAGAGTTGCAAACTAGAAAGGTGGCCCCCAGGGGTGGGCGAGAGAGAGGAGTGGAGAGCTTGGTGAATGGGTGCAATTTCCATTTTGAAAGATAAAACTGTTCCGGAGACGATGGCGGTGATGGTTGCTAAACAATGTGAACGTACTTAATGTCATGAAACTGTAAACTGAAAAAGCGTGGAAACTGTAAAGGTTTATACTGGCCGTTCTATATGAACTAATATATATTTATAATTTTTAATATTTATACGTGGTATATTTTCCCATAATAAAAGATGAAAATTAAAGCAGTTGGATGTTTAAAAAGAAAAGAAAGAAGCGAAGAATACACACCAGCTTTCTCCTGATTAGAGGAAGAGCCCCAAAGCTTCTATGGACACTCACTTTTCTCTTCTTCTTGCATTATTAGGAGGAAATCCTTAGAGGTTGGGGAACTTGGGTGACTTTGGCTAATAAGGAGCTCTGTGCCTTGAGCCCCCCAGGCCACAGAATAGTAAATAGTCAGTCTGTGCCTCCAGCCCTGCAGTGTGAGGTTCCAGTCCTGTGGGCTCCAATCCTGTCACTTGTATCAGGAGGCTCACGTCTCACCCTGTCTTCTTGCCAGCCTTGAGAACGGAGTCTGAGCCTCCATGGTGCACCACACAGGGAGGACAGTGGACCTGTTCTCCGTGGTCATGGCCCAGCAGAGGGGAAGGGCAGTTCAGTGAGTGTAGGGAAAAGAAAAAGAGATCAGACTCTTACTGTGTCTATGTAGAAAGGAAAGACATAAGAGACTCCATTTTGAGAAAGACCTGTACTTTCAACAACCGCTTTGCTGAGATGTTGTTAATGTGTAGCTTTGCCCCAGCCACTTTGACCCAACCTGAAGCTCACAAAAACATGTGTTGTATGAAATCAAGGTTTAAGGGATCTAGGGCTGTGCAGGACGTGCCTTGTTAAGAAGATGTTTCCAAGCAGTAGACTTGATAAAAGTCATCGCCATTCTCTAGTCTCAATAAACCAGGGGCACAATACACTGTGGAAAGACGCAGGGAGCCCTGCCCTTGAAAGCGGCATATTGTCCAAGGTTTCTCCCCATGTGATAGCCTGAAAAGTGGCCTCGTGGGAGGAGAAAGACCTGACCGTCCCCGAGCCGGACACCAGTAAAGGGTCTGTGCTGAGGTGGATTAGTCAAAGAGGAAAGCCTCTTGCAGTTGAGACAGAGGAAGGCCGCTGTCTCCTGCCTCCCCCTGGGAACTGAATGTCTCGGTATAAAACCCGATTGTACATTTGTTCAATTCTGAGATGGGGGAAAAACCGCCCTATGGTGGGAGGTGAGACATGTTGGCAGCAATGCTGCCTTGTTATTCTTTACTCCACTGAGATGTTTGGGTGGAGAGAAACATAAATCTGGCTTATGTACACGTCCAGTCATAGTACCTTCCCGTGAACTTCATGATGACATAGATTCTATTGCTCACATCTTCATTGCTGACCTTCTCCTTATTATCACCCTGCCCTCCTACTACATTCCTTTTTGCTAAAATAATAAAAATAATAATCAATAAAAACTGAGGGAACTCAGAGGCCAGTGCCGGTGCAGATCCTTGGTATGCTGAGCGCCGGTCACCTGGGCTCACTGTTGTTTCTCCATACTTTGTCTCTGTGTCTTATTTCTTTCCTCAGTCTCTCATCCCACCCGACTAGAAATACCCACAGGTGTGGAGGGGCAGGCCACCCCTTCAAGTGAGTGCTGAGGGACGGTCGGGAGCCTTGTTTGGTTTCCTCCTCCTCAGGACAAACAGGAGAGTGCGGTGGGCAGATGGGAGGAGACCACTGTGCAAATTATCCGCTCAGCAGACTGTGCAGTTTCTGTTCTTGGTTGTTCTTGGGGTCTCAGAAATCTTATTCAAAATTTTGCTTTCCTCCCCCACTGGTTGTCCTTTTCATAGACATCTCCCCCATGATAGCAGGCAATCAGTCCCTCTAAACTATTCCCTAAGAACAACAAAAAGATTATGAAGGTGATGATGAGGATAAAGAGGATGACGACAGACACCATGGCATCATGAACCCTTACTGAGGGCTTCCTAAAGGCCAGGCTCTGAGCTCTGTGCTCTATGCAGCTCGTTTCATTTCATCTGCCTAGTCTCCACGTTATTAGTGCACACTTCAGGATGATTTTACAGACTAGAAAAGGAGCAACGCCTTTTCAGATAACTCGTACTAGATCATGAAGTCAAAAAGGGTGAAGTCCAATTTGAACCAGGCAGTCTAAGTCCAGACACATGACATTTGGCCAGTCCTTTCCCTGCAACCAACCTGCCCTCTCAAATTCTCATCACTCAGGTGGATGCCCCTCCTCACTGTGCCCTTCCCTTTGGGGGTTCCTTGTAGACCACAGCTAGACCAGTGGGTGTACAATCACTGTGTCAAGTATGGAAAGGACAGCTGAGATCACATCGAGGATTCCAGAAAGAATTGGCACAGGATCATTCAGGACGCATCTCTCCCTTTCCCCTGTTCCTGGCTTTCCTTACAGCTCTCGACTTCCTCAAAGGAGTCATCAATTCGGAGTTTGGCTTCCATTCCTATTGAGCAAGCTGGAAAGCGTTTCAAAAATGCTCCTCTGATGTGCTTGTGGTTAAGACCTCTGAGCTCTGCTTAAAACTTTTGGAAGCTGGGAGCGGTGGTTCACGCCTGTAATCCCAGCCCTTTGGGAGGCTGAGGCAGGCGAATCACAAGGTCACGAATTCGAGACCAGCCTGGCCAACATGATGAAACCACGTCTCTACTCAAAATAGAAAAAAATGAGCCAGGCATAGTGGCGGGTGCCTGTCATCTCAGCTACTTGGCAGGCTGAGGCAGGAGAATAGCTTGAACCTGGGATGCAGAGGTTGCAGTGAGCCGAGATCACTCCACTGCACTCCAGCCTAGGCAACGGAACGAGACTCCATCTCAAAACAACAAAAACAAAAACAAAAACAAAAACAAAAACAAAAACCAAAGAAACCCACAACTTTTTGAGAGTTGGAAGACCAGGAAGTATAGCACCCGGGACTTCGAGTCTGGCCATGAATTTTGAATACCACGCTTTCTACTTCTCTGTATGGCAAGGGGTGAGACGTCCATCCTCTGAGACTCAGCACTCTCATCTGACTTGATTTCCAGTGGATGCGATGGAAGTGAGTGATGATTAAGCCGATCGTGGGTGCCCGCTGCGTGATCTCTAGGTGACGGATGCATAAAGTAAAGGCAAAGTGAATTTTAGATACATTCCTTAAGATGTTCAGCTTCAACTCCACACAGTTCAATGGAAATATCCCCTGACCTGAAGTTCTGCTTTCCCTGCATTCCAGACAGGACATTTTGTTGTGTCCTTCTCTCAGTAAGGACTGAGTACTGTGAGAGGAACAAGTGAGTCTCTTTGGTTTCTGATTCCCCAGAGCCTATATCTTGCTTGGCACCTAGGAGACAGCAAAAGTCAAAATGTATGTTAATGATTGAATTGACACTTCCTTGCTTCACCAAAATTGGCTGTCATCAGCGTGACTTTGACTTACTTGATGCTTTTTGTTTTTTGTTTTTTGAGACGGAGTTTTGCTCTCGTTGCCCAGGCTGGAGTGCAGTGGTGTGATTTCGGCTCACTGTAGTCTCTGCCTCCCAGGTTCAAGCCATTCTCCTGCCTCAGCCTCCCGAGTAGCTGGGACTACAGGCGCGCGCCACCATACCGGGCGAAGTTTTTGTATTTTTAGTAGAGGCGGGGTTTCACCATGTTGGCCAGGATGGTCTTGATCTCCTGACCCCGTGATCCGCTCTCCTCGGCCTCCCAAAGTGCTGGGATTACAGGCGTGAGCCACCGCATCCGGCCAAACGTTCTGATGAAACCTAAGTCCACCTAAGCCAAGGACAGGAGTCAGAGCTTCCATGAATTTTAAAACAAGACCCACCGATTTGAGTAAGCAATTACTCTCTCGAAGGAGAAAAGTCCGAAAACAGAATGATGAAATCACTAGGACCTAACTGGCATGTGGAACTATTTTCTGCTTATGAACTATCAACTTTCATTTCATTTCCAGATGGCATGGTCTCAGCTGTTATACAGTGTTTACGAATGTTCTAAATCAAGGGAATTTGTATCAATCTAGTAGAATAAATAAAATATTTGAGTTCTTAATTTCCTTTAATTAGGATAACCTTTTTCTTAAAGTGAAGACAATGGTTTTATTACATCTTTTTCTTCAGAAAAGATAGGCTGTATTTTCTAGCAATTACGAATGTGCTATATATGATGATCTGGCTCTTGGAACGTTCTTGAAGCTAATGTCTCTAAGGCAGGTGTGTACAGCAAGACGTGAATAACACAGCAATGGATGTTGAAAGCATTATAAGGCAATTGACCTTGTCAGAACTACAAAATATTATGGAGTGTGGATTGCTCGGAAATCTGAAAACATGACTTGTGTATTGCTTATATCCAAAATGCAGACACAATGCTGAGTATTGGTTTACTTGTTTCCGATTTTGCAACCATCTTTTCCAGGCAAAAGAGGGTTGTATCCAAACGATACAGACCCACAGAGTATAACAGATGTCTCTATATTCCTCCTCCTCGAACTCTCAGAGGATCCAGAACTGCAACCGGTCGTCGCTGGGCTGTTCCTGTCCATGTGCCTCGTCATGGTGCTGGGGAACCTGCTCATCATCCTGGACGTCAGCCCTGACTCCCACCTCCCCACCCCCATGTACTTCTTCCTCTCCAACCTGTCCTTGCCTGACATCGGTTTCACCTCCACCACGGTCCCCAAGATGATTGTGGACATCCAGTCTCACAGCAGAGTCATCTATGCAGGCTGCCTGACTGTGATGTCTCTCTTTGCCATTTTTGGAGGCATGGAAGAGAGACATGCTCCTGAGTGTGATGGCCTATGACCGGTTTGTAGCCATCTGTCACCCTCTATATCGCTCAGCCATCTTGAACCCGTGTTTCTGTGGCTTCCTAGATTTGTTGTCTTTTTTTTTTTTCCCTCAGTCTTTTAGACTCCCAGCTGCACAACTTGATTGCCTTACAAATGACCTGCTTCAAGGATGTGGAAATTCCTAATTTCTTCTGGGAACCTTCTCAACTCCCCCATCTTGCATGTTGTGACACCTTCACCAGGAACATCAGCATGTATTTCCCTGCTGCCGTATTTGGTTTTCTTTCCATCTCGGGGACCCTTTTCTCTTACTGTAAAATGGTTTCCTCCATTCTGAGGGTTTCATCATCAGGTGGGAAGTATAAACCTTCTCCACCTGAGGGTCCCACCTGTCAGTTGTTTGCTGATTTTATGGAACAGGCGTTGGAGAGTACCTCGGTTCAGATGTGTCATCTTCCCCGAGAAAGGGTGCAGTGGCCTCAGTGATGTACACGGTGGTCACCCCCATGCTGAACCCCTTCATCTACAGCCTGAGAAACGGGGATATTAAAAGTGTCCTGCGGCGGCCGCAAGGCAGCACAGTCTCATCTCAATACCTTCTTATCTGTTCCATTCCTTTTGTAGGGTGGGTTAACAAAGACAGCAAGGTCAAATAAGAATGATATCACAGGGTGAACACCCCACTGTGACATTAAGAGTAATACCTCCCTAGGATATAAAAAATACTGTCACAGAGTACACACACATGGGGTACACCCACGGTGATATTAGAAGCACTATCTCCCTTAAATATTATGAAAAATATCACAGGGTGTGCACACTGTGTGATATGAGGAGTCATATTTACCCTGGATATCACGACTCGTATCAAGGGTGTACACACACCGGGTACACGCACTGTGATATCAGGAGTTGCATCTCCCTAGGATATTACGAATAATATCACAGGGTATACACTATGTGTGAACATCCACTGTGACATTTGAACTCAGATCTCTCTATGAGATTACAAATAATATCAAAGTATGTACACCCTTGTGACATATTAGGAGTAACATCCTTCTAGGGTATTGCAGATAACATCACAAGGTGTACACCTTCTGTGACCTTTTGCGCACACTTTGTGCCATTCAAGGAAACATCCCCCTAGGGTATTACGAATAATGACACAGGCGGTTGACACACATGGTGTACATCTCCTGTGCCATCAGCAGTAATATTCCTCTAGGATATTACGAATAATACCACAGCAGGTGTACACATACGGTGTTCACCCCATGTGACATTAGGAGGCACATGCCCCTAGGATATTAGGAAAAGTATCACAGGCGTTGAATATGCATGATATACACCCCCGGCAACATTGAAAGTAACATCCCCCTAGGATATTACGAATAATGTCACAGGGAGTACACCCCATGTGACATTAGGAGTAACATCCCCCGAGGATATAACGAATAATATCAGGGGGCGTACATACATTGTGACCTTAGTGGTAACATCTCTTTAGGATATTACCAATAATATCACAGGGTGTACACTGACCGTGATATTAGGAGTCCCATTTTCCTAGGATATTATGGATAATATCACAGGAGGTGTTCACACACAATGTGTACCCCATGTGTGTACACCCAAAGTGATATTTGAAGTCATCTGTCCCTAGGATCTTACGAATATTATCAAAGGGTGTACACCCCATGTGACATTAAAAGTAACATCCCTTTTGGATATTCCGAATGCTATCACAGGGTGTGATATTAGGAGTAACCTCTTCCTAGGATAACCCATGTGATATTAGGAGTAACCCCTTCCTAGGGTATTACGAATAACATCACAGAGTGTACACTCCTGTGACTTTAAAAGTAACAACCCCCCTAGAATATTACAACAATATAACAGGGTGTACAACTCCTGTGACATTACGAGTAACATCTCCCTAGGATATTTCGAATGATGCCACTGGGGGCACACCCTCTGTGATATTAACAGCAACATCTTTCTAGGAGATTACAAATGATATCACAGGGTGCACACTCACTGTGATATTAGAAGGAATATCTCCCTAGGATATAAGCTATCACATCACAGAGTGTACACACATGGTGTACACCCACTGTGTTATTAGAAGCAATATCTCCCTATGATTTTATGAAAAATATCACAGGGTGTACCCTCTGTGGGATACTAGAAGTAGTGTTTACCATGGATATTACAAATAATATCACAGGATGTACACACATGGGGTACACCCACTGTGATATTAGGAGTTATATCTCCCTCAGATATTACAAATAATATCCCAGTGGGTGTAGCCCATGTGTGTACACCCACTGTGATCATGAAAGTAATATCTCTCTATAAGATTACAAATAATATCGAAGGCTGTACACCCCCTGTAACGTTAGGGGTAACATCCCCCCAGAATATTACTAATAATATCACAAGGTGTACACGCATTGTGACATTAGTAGTAGTATCCAGCTAGCATATTTTCAATAATATCACAGAAGTAACACACCTGTGACATTAAGAGTGACATCCCCCTAGAATAGTAAGAATACTATCACAGGGTGTACTCCCCCTGTGATATTAGGAGAATCATCTCATCAGAATATTACGAATAATGTCATAGGGTGCTATCTTCTGTGACATTAGGAGTATAGACCCCTGGGAAATTATGAATACTATCACAGGGTGTACACCCCTGTGACGTTAGGAGTAACATCCTTCTAGAATATCATGAATAATATCAGAATGTGTACACCCCCGTGTCATTAACAGTACAATTGCCCTAGGATATTATGAAATAGAACACAGGGAGTACACGCCGTGTGACATTAGAAGTCACATCCCCCGAGGATATAACGAATAATATCAGAGAATGTACATGCACTGGGACATCAGGAGTCACATCTCTTTAGGATAATACGAACAATATCAAAGGGTGTACACGCATTGTGAAATTAGTAGTGAACTCCCGCTGGGATATTACGAATTTTTTGACAGGGTCTCCACGCCCTGACACATTAGTAGTCACGTTTTCCGAGAATATGACGAAGAATATTAAAGGGTGTACAGGACCTGTGATTTACGAGTAACATTTCTATAGAAGATTACACGTAATATCACTGTGTGTACACCCTGTGTGACGTTAGGAGTCACATCCCAGAAAACTATAATGAAAAATTTCACAAGGTGAGCAACATCTGTGACATTAAAAGCAACATTTCCCTAGAATATGACGATAATATCACAGAGTGTATACCCTCGGTGATATGAGGAGTGATATCTCACAAGGGTAATACGAGTAATTTGAAAAGGCATACAAACCCTGTGACATAAGGAGTGACATCCCTCCAGGATATTCCGAATCATACCACAGGGAAAATACTCCGTGTGACAAAAAAATCAACCCCCCCTTAGGAGATTAAGAATCATAGCACAAGCTGTACACACACTGTGACATTATTATTAACGTCCCGCTAGGGTATTGCGAATAATATCAGAGTGTGTAGAGAATTGTGATATCAGGATTCACATTTCGCTACAATAACATGAATAATATCACAGGGTGTATACCCCCTGGAACTTAAACAGTGACACCTTCCTAGAATATGGAAAATAATGTCCCAGGGTGTTAACCAAGTGTGGCAGTAGAGAAAACATACTAGGAGAAAGGGAGTAATATCACCCCCTCTCGCCACCTGGATATTACGAGCCACATCGCAGGGGGGAGAGAGCGCCCCCCGCGATGCGTGGAGTAATATCACCCGCCTCTCCCCCCCAGATATTACCATCCAAATCGCAGGGGGGCGAGGCGCCCCCCGCGATGCGGGGAGTAATATCACCCGCTTCTCCCCCGCGCCGGATATTACGATCCAAATCGCAGGGGGGCGAGGCTCCCCCCGCGAAGCTGGGAGTAAAAGCCAGCCCCTCTTGCCCGCCTGGCTCTTAGGACCCCCATCGCAGGGGGGCGAGGCGCCCCCCGCGATGCGGGGAGTAAGAGCCAGTCCCTCTTGCCCGCCTGGCTCTTAGGATCCGCGGTGGACTCACAGCCTGTTTATCATATTGTGAGTAATATCATCTCCCCCTCTGCAGATTATGAACTGTTTCACAGACCTGTGTACACCCTGGGTGTACAGAAGTTGTACACCTGTCTGTATCGGGAGTCATATCATCCTCTTCCTGCCTGAATATTAGGAACAGTATCACTGGGGTGTTTCTACTCCCTGGGATATCGAGTGTCATGTCTTTCTCTCCCACGTTGCAATTGGAAACAATATCATTGGGGGCGAGTCCACCTTCTGTGATATTGAAAGTAATATTATCCTCTTCCTTCCAGGATCATGGGAAGGATATCCTTGGGGGTGTCCACTTTCCGCCATATATGTAGTCATATCACCCCCTCCGCCTTGGAATATTTTTAAGGACTATCTTACACGGGGGTGGACACTTCCTGCGATGTTGGGAGTAATAGCATTCTCTTCTTCCGTGAATATTAGGAGCAAAATCACCGGGTGGTGGATGCACACCCAGTGCTATATTGGGAGTAACGTCATACTCCACCCCCTGGAGATTATATTCGGATCAATATCACGGGCTGTGTGTACACCTACTGCGATATTGAACTTAATATCATGCTCTCTCCCTCCCTGGACATTAGGAGCAATATCGCAGCTGGGTGTACACCCACTGAGGTATTACTGCGTAATATTTGTATGAATTATTCCTCATTTATTATTAACAGGAATATGAATGACCGATATTAATATTATTATTAAGAAATAATTGCTAATAAAAAGTTTTCAGATTATTAATATTAATATGAATTATTAGGAGTTAATATTACTGTTTTCTAATGAATAAGATCATTATCAGTTATTAATATCAGGCGTCATTAATCATTAATATTAATCATGTATTGTTATCGTTAGTATAACTATTTAATATCAGTTATCATTATTATCGGTATTGATTTTAAAAATTATATTATGGGTTATTAATATTTATAATTATTAGTGTCAATTAATAATTGAGATTATTAATTGCCGTAAGTCGCCCTGCGCCATTACACCCCTCCCTCGGCAGCTCGTTTATGACCCTAAACGGGGACACAGATGCCCCTGAGAGAGCAGCGGTAGACTGGGATAGATGAGGTTGGTCACGTGGTAGAGAGGCATGTTTTTTGGTACCAGCACTTCACCTGCGTCGACCTTCTCAACTGGAAAAACAATACACCGCCCTATACCGAAAAGCCACAAGCCCTAACTGATTTGCTCCAAGCTGTTATCCAGACCCACAACCCCACCTGGGCTGATTGGCGCCAGTTGCTCATGTTCCTCTTTAACAGCGAAGAAAGGCGGAGAGTCCTCCAAGCAGCAACTAAGTGGCTAGAGGAACATGCACCAGCTGATTATCAAAACCCCCAAGAGTATGGAAGGACCCAGTTGCCAGGAACCGACCCCCAGTTGGACCCACATGAAAGAGAGGAGATGCAAAGGCTAAACCGAGACAGGGAAGCTCTCTTGGAAGGATTAATGAGGGGAGCTCAGAAGGCCACAAATGTTAACAAGCTCTCTGAGGTCATTCAGGGAGAAGAAGAAAGTCCAGCACAATTCTACGAGAGATTGTGTGAGGCCTATCGTATGTATACTCCCTTTGATCCTGATAGCCCTGAAATCAGCGCATGATTCACATGGCTTTAGTCCGTCAAAGCGCAGAAGACATGAGAAGAAAACTGCAGAAACAGGCTGGGCTTGCAGGGATGAATCCATCACAATTACCAGAAATAGCTAGCCAGGTGTTTGTAAACAAGGATACAGTAAGCCATAAGGAAAACGGCAAAGAGAATGGAGGTCAGGCCTGGCGACACGCCGACCTGTTTGTCAGCTGCAGCAATCAGAGGGGCCCCCCCAAAGAGGCAAGGGAAGGGGGGTCCTGGGAAAGAAACTCAGCTTGGCTGTCAGAGTTTGCAGTGTAACCAGTGTGCTCATTGTAAAGAAATAGGACAGTGGAAGAACAAATGCCCTCAGCTCAAAAGAAAACAAGGTGACTCAGAGCAGGAGGCCCCGGACAAGGAGGAAGGGGCCCTGCTCAACCTGGCAGAAGGGTTCTTGGACTGAGGGAGACCCGGCTCAAGCGTACCCAAACAGCCTCTGCTCAGAATGACAGTTGGGGGTGGAGACATTGACTTTCTTGTAGATAGCGGTGCTGAACATTTGCTAGTAACCGCCCCGGTCGCCCCCTTATCCAAAAAGACTATTGATGTCATCGGAGCCACAGGGGTTTCAGCAAAGCAAGCTTTCTGCTTGCCTCGGACTTGTACTGTAGGAGGACATAAAGTCATTCATCAGTTTTGGTACATGCCTGACTGTCCCTTGACCTTTTTGGGAAGGGACTTGCTCAGCAAGCTGAGAGCCACTATGTGTTTGACAGACCACGGCTCTTTGCTGCTAAAGTTACCCGGAACAGGAGTCATTATGACCCTTATGGTCCCCGGAGATGAGGAATGGAGAGTTTTCTTAACTGAGCCAGGCCAAGAGAGAAGACCAGCTCTGGCTAAGCGGTGGCCAAGAGTACGGGCAGAAGAGAACCCTCCGGGATTGGCCAGTTAAGACTGGGGCCCAGCCGGTGAGGCGAAAACAGGACCTGGTCCCCAGAGAAGCCCTTCAAGGTATCCAGGTGCGTCTCAAGCACCTAAGAACTTTTGGAATTATTGTTCCTTGTCAGTCTCCATGGAACACTCCCCTCCTGCCTGTTCCCAAGCCACGGACCAAGGACTACCGGCCGGTACAGGATTTGCGCTTGCTCCATCAAGCTACACTGACTTTACATCCAACAGTACCTAACCCGTCCACATTATTGGTGTTGCCGCCAGCTGAAGACAGCTGGTTCACCTTCTGGAACCTGAAAGACGCTTTCTTTCCTATCAGATTAGCCCCTGAGAGGCAGAAGCTGTTTGCCTTTCAGTGGGAAGATCCGGAGTCAGGTGTCACTACTCAGTACACTTGGACCGGGCTTCCCCAAGGGTTCAAGAACTCCCCCACCATCTTCAGGGAGGCGTTGGCTCGAGACCCCCAGAAGTTTCCCACCAGAGACCTAGGCTGCGTGTTGCTCCAGTATGTTGATGACCTTCTGCTGGGACACCCCACGGCAGTCGGGTGTGCCAAGGGAACAGATGCCCTACACCGGCACCTGGAGGACTGTGGGTAGAAGGTGTGCAAGAAGAAAGCTCAGATCTGCCGATGGCAGGTAAGTTACTTGGGATTGACTATCCAACAGGGGTCGGAACACAGCCCAGGATCAGAAAGAAAGCAGGTCATTTGCCATCTAGCTGAGCCTAAGAGCAGAAAGCAGGTGAGAGAATTCTTAGGAGCTGTGGGGTTTTGTAGACTGTGGATCCCAAACTTTGCAGTATTAGCTAAGCCTTTGTATGAGGTCACCAAGGGGGCGGGGACCGGGAACCTTTGGAATGTGGATCCCAACAACAGCAACTCTTTCATGAGTTAAAGGAAAAACTTCTGGCAGCCCCAGCCCTGGGGCTACCTGATCTGACAAAGCCTTTTCCATTGTATGCATCAGAGAGAGAAAAGATGGCAGCTGGACTTTGAACCCAAACTGTGGGGCCCTGGCTGAGGCCGGTGACCTACCTCTCTAAACAACTAGACGGGGTTTCTAAAGGATGGCCCCCCTGTTTGAGGGCCTTGGCAGCAACTGCCCTGCCACTACAAGAAGCAAATAAGCTGACTCTTGGGCAAAACCTGAACATAAAGGCCTCCCGTGCTGTGGTGACTTTAATGAATACTAAAGGACACAATTGGCTAATGAATGTCAGACTCACCAAGTACCAAACTGCTCTGCGAAAATCCCTGTATAACCATTGAAGTTTGCAACACCCTACACCCCGCCTCCTTGCTCCCGGTATCAGAGAGCCCTGTCGAGCCTGATTGTGTAGAAGTGTTGGATTCAGTTGACTCTAGCAGACCTGACCTCCGGGACCAAGCTTGGGCATCAGTAGACTGGGAACTATACGTGTATGGGAGCAGCTTCTTCAACCCCCAAGGAGAGAGAGGTGCAGGGTATGCAGTGATAACTCTGGACCCTGTTGTTGAAGCCAGATCGTTGCCCCAGACCACTTCAGCCCAGAAGGCTGAACTCATTGCTTTCATTCGGGCCTTAGAACTCAGTGGGTGTGAGACTGTCAATACTTACACTGATTCTCGGTATGTCTTTTCAACTCTTCAAGTGCATGGAGCATGATAGAAAAGGGCCTACTGAACTCTGGGGGAAAAGACAGAAAATATCAACAAGAAATCTTGCAATGATGAGAAGCAGTATTGAAACCCCACAAGGTGGCAGTTATGCATTGCAGAGGACACCAGAGAGCTTCCATCTTGCTGGGTTTGGGGAATTCCCACTCTGACTCAGAGGTTCGAAAAGCAGCATCTGCCCCCTTCTGGGCATCAGTGTTCCCTCAAGCACCTGATCTTGGACCTACTTCTTCTAAAGAAGAAAAGGACTTTCTCCAGGTAGAGGGAAGGACAAGTGATGGAGGAAGGATGGATTCGGTTACCAGATGGGAGACTAGCTGTGCCACAGCTGCTAGGAGCTGCAGTTGTACTGGCTGTGCAAGAAACCACCCATTGAGGTCAGGAGTCACTGGAAATTTGTTAGGCTGGTATTTCTACATCTCGCCTCTGTCAGCCCTTGCCATAACG
This sequence comes from Homo sapiens, assembly GCF_000001405.40. Classification (NCBI taxonomy): domain Eukaryota; kingdom Metazoa; phylum Chordata; class Mammalia; order Primates; family Hominidae; genus Homo; species Homo sapiens. The sequence continues at coordinate 77,845 of NT_187537.1, forward strand.
GTGAGGCAGAGGTGTGTTACCTGCTGACAGCATGATGCGAGGCAAGGTCCAGCCGTTCCGCCCGGCATATGAGCTTAGGGAGCAGCCCTCTTTGAAGGTCTCCAGGTGGACTTCACAGAGGTGCCAATGTTTGGAGGTAACAAGTATGTACTAGTTCTTGGGCGTACCTACTCTGGGTGGGTGGAGGCCTATCCAACACGAACTGAGAAAACTCGTGAAGTAACCACTGTGCTTCTTTGAGATGTGATTCCTAGATTTCGACCGCCCTTACGGATCGGCTCAGACAACGGGCCTGCGTTTTTGGCTGCCTTGGTACAGAAGACGGCAAAGATATTGGGGATCACACGGAAACTGCATGCCGCCTCCCGGCCTCAGAGTTCTGGAAAGGTGGAGCGGATGAATCTGACTATCAAAAATAGTACTGTTGTCTTCCCCGCTGGATATTTAAAACAACACCACAAGGGGCGTCAAACCACCTGCTAAATTTGAGGGAATGTTATCCTCTCCCCACCTCCCCCGGCCCCGGATATTAGAGACAATAACACAAGGGTGATGTACACCCACTGCTTTATTGGGAGTAATATCATCCTCTGCCTTCTTGGATATTAGGAACAATGTCACACTGTGCGTGTATGCCTGTCGCGAAATTCAATGGAATGTCATCCTGCGCCTCCCTGGATATGACGAACAATATCACGGGGGATGTAAAACTTCTGAGATATTGGGAGTGATATCATCCTCTCCCCTCTGGAAGTTAGGGACAATATCACAGGGGTAGTGTACACCCTCTGGGATGTTGGGACTAATATCATCCTCCCGCCCACTGATATTAAAAACCATATCACAAGGGGCGTGTACACACACTTCGATATTGGTATGAATACCATCCTCTCCCTCTTTGGATATTCGGTGCCATATTTCTGGTGGGGTATACACCACCTGCAATATTGGAGGTAATATGATTTTCTCCCCTCCTGGATATCACAAACAATATCACAGGGGGTTGTGAACAAACCCTGCGATATTTGGAGTAATATCATCGTCTCCCCTCACAATTATTAAGAACAATATAGTAGGGGTGGGGGATGCACACCCCCTTTCATATTTTTTATCATCCTCTTCTCCCCTGGATATTAGGTACAATATCAGGAAGGGATGTACAGACCCTGAGACCTTTGCTGTCATAGAATTGTCTCTCCCGTAGATATTAGGAAAAAATGTCACTGGGGATGTGAACAGCCCTGCGATATTGAGAGTAGTATCATCCTCTGCCCCCTTGCATATTGGGAACAACATCACAGGTGGGGTGTACTGCCTCTGTGATATTGGGAGTGAAATTTTCCTCTCTTCCCCTGGACATTAGGAAGAGTATCAGAGGGGGTGGGTGTACATTCCCTGCGATATTCAACGTAACCTTATCCTCTCCCTCCCAGGGTATTCAGAACAATATTACAGGAGGGGTGTACACCCTCTGCGATATTGAGAGTCATGTCATCCTCTTTCGCTCTGGATATTAGGAACAATATCACAGGGTTGTGTACACTCTCTGCGATATTGGGAGTCATATCATCCTCTCTCCCTGTGGATATTAGGAAGAGTATCACAGGGCTGTGTAAACCCCCTGCGGTACTGGGAGTAATATCATCCTCTCTCCCTCTGGATATAAGGAAGATTTTCACAGGGGTGTGTACACCCCCCTGCGATATTGGGAGTGAGATCACCCTGTCCACCCAGGAAATGACTAACATGGTCACGGGGAAGTGTACTCCCCCTGCGATATTGGGAGTAATGTCGTCCTCCCCAAACCTGGATGTTAGCAACGAGATCACAGAGGGGGTGTACACACCCTGCGACATTGGAAGTAATATGATCCTCTCCCCACCTGGATACTGGGAAAGATATCACAGCGCGGGTATACGTTTCCTACCCTGTTGGGAGTAATATCATTCTTTTCCTTTCTGGATATTAGGAAGAATATCACAGGGGTGCTGCACGATTACTTCGATATTGGGAGTAATATCATCCTCTATTTTCCTGGATATTGGGCACAAAAACACAAAAGGGTGTACAACCCCTTCGATATTGGGAGTAATAGCATACTCTCCTTCCGTGGATTTTAGAAAACAATATCATCAGGGCTGAACACCCCCTGCGATAAAGGGAGTCATGGTTACTCTTTCACAGGCCATTTGGAATAATATCACAGGGGGTGTTTACAAATAGGGGTGGTGTACACCTCCTGTGATATTGGGAGTAACATTCTCTCCACCTCCGGATATTAAGAACAATATCCCGGCGGGAGGTGGTACACCCCCAGTGATATTGCAAATAATGTCATCCTCTCCTTCCCTGGATATTAGGAACAATATCACAGGGGGTTGTACACCTTCTGTGATATTGGAAGCAATATCATCCTCTCCCCCGCTGGATATTAGGAAAAAAAATCACCCACGGTGTACACCCACTGTGATATGAGGAGTAATATCTTCCCAGGGTATTATGTATAATTTCACAGTCTGTACACACATGGTGTACACTCACTGTGATATTAGGAGTAATATCTACCTAGTAGATAACAAATAACATCGCAGGGTGTACACCCACTTTGATATTAGCTGTAATATTTTTCTAAGTTGTTACAAATATGATCACAGGGTGTACCAACATGGTGTACACACACTGTGATATCAGGAGTCGTATCTCTGTAATATATTATGAATAATATCACAGGGTGTACACCCACTGTATTATTAGAAGTAATATCTCTGTAGGATATTACAATTAAGATCACAGGGTGTAGAGCCACGGTGATATTAGGAGCAATATCTTTCTAGGATATTACAAATAATATCACAGGGTGTACGCCCACTCTACTCTCAGGAGCAATATCTCCCTAGGATATCAAAAATCCTATCACAGGGTGTGCAATCTCTGCCTTCCAGGTTCTAAGGGATTCTCCTGCTTCAGCCTCCCGAGTAGCTAGGATTACCCGCTACCACGCCAGGCTAGACGGGATTTCACCACGTTGGCCAGGCTGGTCTGGAACTCCTGACCTCAGGTGATCCATCAGCCTCGGCCACCCAAAGTGCTGGGATTACAGGTGTGAGCCATGGTGCTGGGCCAAGAGTTCTAGATTCTATTCATTTGGAAACACAGCTCCCATCTTTGAGTGTGCATGTACTTTTATGAAGAAATGATGTCAGAAAACCGAAGGATGATAATAAATATGAAAAGTAACAGGCATGTGAAAAGGTCTTCCGATTGAGAATTATAAGGTTCGATTTCGTTTTCACATAATGGGGTACTACCTCTTGAGTCGTCCTTTTACATATTCTACATCAATGGAAGTTGTAGCACCGTGTCAGAATAAAGTAGAGTGTATTTCACGGTTTCTTAATTTCTTTCAATTAGACTGAGATCTTTTTCTTAAAGAGAGAAGGACATTGTCATTGCATTGTATTTTTTCTGAAAAGAGTAGGCCGTATTTTACTGAGATCACGGATTTGTTATATATGACGTTTCGGTCTTCTAATATTCTCCAGTGGATTTTCTCTAAAGTAGTGTGTACAGAAAGCCTTGTATAGCAAAAAAGTAAATCATGTAATAATTCTGAGATTTTTGGAATTGTCACAGCTGAGAAACATTGCTGGCGGTGTATGGTCCGCAAGTGTCAAGATGTTCCTTGTGAATTGCTTGCATCCAGCATTAAGGGCTGGTTTTTATCTTTTATTTTTCCAATCCTCTTTCCTTCTCAAGGTGTCCAAGACACACAGAGCCACGGAATCTCACAGGTGTCTGAGAATTCCTCCTCCTGGGACTCTCAGAGGATCCAGAACTGCAGCCGGTCCTCGCTTTGCTGTCCCTGTCCCTGTCCATGTATCTGGTCACAGTGCTGAGGAACCTGCTCAGCATCCCGGCTGTCAGCTCTGACTCCCACCTCCACACCCCCACGTACTTCTTCCTCTCCATCCTGTGCTGGGCTGACATCGGTTTCACCTCGGCCACGGTTCCCAAGATGATTGTGGACATGCAGTGGTATAGCAGAGTCATCTCTCATGCGGGCTGCCTGACACAGATGTCTTTCTTGGTCCTTTTTGCATGTATAGAAGGCATGCTCCTGACTGTAATGGCCTATGACTGCTTTGTAGGCATCTATCGCCCTCTGCACTACCCAGTCATCGTGAATCCTCATCTCTGTGTCTTCTTTGTTTTGGTGTCCTTTTTCCTTAGCCTGTTGGATTCCCAGCTGCACAGTTGGATTGTGTTACAATTCACCATCATCAAGAATGTGGAAATCTCTAATTTTGTCTGTGACCCCTCTCAACTTCTCAAACTTGCCTCTTATGACAGCGTCATCAATAGCATATTCATATATTTCGATAGTACAATGTTTGGTTTTCTTCCTATTTCAGGGATCCTTTCATCTTACTATAAAATTGTCCCCTCCATTCTAAGGATGTCATCGTCAGATGGGAAGTATAAAACTTTCTCCACCTATGGCTCTCACCTAGCATTTGTTTGCTGATTTTATGGAACAGGCATTGACATGTACCTGGCTTCAGCTATGTCACCAACCCCCAGGAATGGTGTGGTGGTGTCAGTGATGTAAGCTGTGGTCACCCCCATGCTGAACCTTTTCATCTACAGCCTGAGAAACAGGGACATACAAAGTGCCCTGCGGAGGCTGCGCAGCAGAACAGTCGAATCTCATGATCTGTTCCATCCTTTTTCTGGTGTGGGTGAGAAAGGGCAACCACATTGAATCTCTACATCTGCAAATCCTGCCCCTTAGTCACATTATTTTTGTGGCTTGATGGCTTTTATTCCTTTCCGCATTTCCTTTGTGAATATTGCTTTCTTCGTTATGCCTTTAACTGGAATGGGTGAGGATTCTGTGATCCTTTGTTTAGCAGAAACCTCATGACAGAATCCTCTCTACCTAGGCGGCCTCTTTTAGTTTCTGAGCAATAACCCTGTCATCCAGGTGGAATCACTACCATCTTTTTATATACACGAAGTCCTCACTTCGTTTTGGAATTCCCTGAAAACTGACTTTATGGAAACAATGTACAGGAGGTCCTCCAACAGTATTGGTTGTTCACAGTTGTGTAGTTATACTGTTGATGAAAAATAAGCGGTTTCACTATACATAATTTTGCTTCAAGTTGAAGTTTCCAAGAGACTTTCAAAGATGTTAAGTGAGGACATACTGTACATCAAATTCATATCCTCTTCCACAGTTCATGTGGAATTACTTTACAAACTGCTTCTAGAGAATCTATTTAGGCAGGTTATGTGTAGAGATCCATGTCGCCGTTCCTCAATCTTGGCTTTGAGTCAAATCACCTGGGGAGCTTACACATGATGAGGCCTGGGTCTCAATACCTGAGATTCTGATTTCCTTGAACCTGTGTGAGTATGCGGATTTTTTTTTTTTCTTTTAAAGCCCCAGAGGTGGTTCCAATGACGAAGTTTTTAGAGGCATGAAGCTCCAATGAGTAAGAATAGAAATTAATTGTTATATGATTTCTTCAAATATTATGTTCAAATGCATTGTCCATCAACACCATACAAATGTTTATTATGCTGTTTTTTGTTACCATTTCGCATTTTCTATTTCTTTCTTTTCCTTTTTTTTTGAGTCAGAGTTTCACTCTTGATGCCCAGGCTGGAATTCAATGGCACGGTTTCGGCTCACTGCAACCTCTGCCTCCCGTATTCAAGCAATTCTCCTGTCTCAGCCTTCCAAGTAGCTGGGATTACAGGCATGCGCTACCAGGCCTGGCTATTTTTTTTTTTTTTTGTATTGTTAATAGAGACAGTGTTTCTCCATTTTGGTCAGGCTGGTCTTGAACTCCCGACCTCAGGTGATCTGCCCGCTTCCGCCTCCCAAAATGCTGGGATTACAGGCATGAGCTACCGCGCCCAGCCACCACTTAGCATTTACATTTTACATTTGTGGAAGTTATAGATTTATACACACATTGATTCCTGCTTTGTTATACACTTGCATATACATAAGATGGGAAATAGAAAAGAATAAAATAGGCACAGTATCCGTGAAGTTTCACATTCCAAGTCTTTAAAAATATGTGCTTTTTAGAAATTTGTTTCAATGAAGAAACTGTGGTATACACACCCAATGAAGTATTATTCAGCCTAAAAAGGAAGAACATCCTCTCTGCTGCAGACAAAATGGATGAGATTGCAGGTCTGTATATTAAATGAAAGAAGCCCGGCACAGAATGACAAATATTTCCTGTCCTCACTTCTACGTAGGAAGAAAAAAGGAAACCTTGGCCAGGTGTGGTGGCTCAGGCCTGTAATCCCAGCACTGTGGGAAGCCGAGTCGCACGGATCACTTGAGTCCAGGAGTTCGAGACCCGCTTGGCCAACATGGTGAAACCCCGTCTCTACGGAAAAAACAAACAATTACTCGGGCTTGGTGACGCGTGCCTGTAGTCTCAGCTACTCAGAGGGCGGAGGCCCAAGAAGCTCTTGAACTCGGGAGGCGGAGCTTGCAGGGAGCCCGGATTGTGCCTGTGTACTCCAACCTGGGCAACAGAAAGAGACTCCATCATACACCTACACACAAAAGGAATCTGAGGAAGGTGGAAAGTATAAACGTGGTTAGCAGGCGCTACGAAGAAAAGGGGTGGGATGGGGAATGAAGACAAGTGGATAATTGGGTCCCGAAATACAGAAAGATGGAATAAGTGAGTTCTAGCGTTTGATAGTACAGTATGAAAATTTTAGTTCACAAGAATTTCTTGCATATTTCCAGATGGTTTGGTAAGAAACTTCCTAACTTTCTCATTATGCTTCTTTTTAAGCTCTTCTCTTTCTGCTCTTGAAATCATGCTTGTTTTTTTTTTTTGTTTTGAGATGGAGTTTCGCTCTTGTTGCCCAGGCTGAAGTGTCATGGTGCAATCTTGGCTCACCGCAACCTCTGCCTCCTGGGTTCAAGTGATTCTCCTGCCTCCACCTCCCGAGTAGCTGCGATTACAGGCATGTGCCAGCCCGCCCAGCTAATGTTGTATTTCTAGTAGAGACGGGGGTTTCTCCCTGTCGGTCAGGCTGGTCTTCAACTCTTGACCTCAGGTGACCTGCCAGCTTCGGCCTCCCAAAGTGCTGGGATTACAGGGGTGAGCGACCGCGCCCTGCCCATGCTGTATCCTTATCTGTTGTCTATTGTTGTTTGTTTGTTTTGGAGCCCAGAAATACCTTCCCACCTATATGTTCAAATGATTTTTCACATGAGTGCTAAGAAAGCTCATTGGTGGAAAAGCAGCCTTTTCAAGAAATGGTGTTGGAGAAACTTGATTTCCACATGCAGAAGAATGAAGGTGGACCCTATGTCACACCAGGTGCAAAAATTCACACAAACTGGATCAAAGACCTCACCCCAAGCGCTAAAAGTGTCATATGCCTTAAAGAAAACATTGGCCACGCTTTCATGACATCAGATTGGGCAATGTTCTCTGGGATATGACACCAAAAGCATAGGCAACAAAGAAAATTATATTCCTTGGATTACATCTACATGACAGACACTTTTGTGCAGCAAAAAACACTGCGAACTGAGTGAAAAGATAACCCATGAATTAGGAAAAATATTTGCAAAGCATATATCTGAAAAGAGGTTGATATCCATCATATATAAAGAACAGCTAGAACTAAACAAGAAACCCAAAGCATCCCATCAACAATGGTCAGAAGACTCAAGTAGACGTGTCCCTAAAGAAGATATTGCAATGGCCAATAAGCATCTAAAATGATGTTCAAAATCACTCATCCTAGGGAAGCGCAAATCAAACCAAGAATGTGTTACCAAACATTAGGATGGATATGATAAACAAACAAGCATTGGAGAGACTAGAGGGAAATAGGAATGCTCGAATATGATCGGAGGGAATGTAAAACCATGAAGGAATGGGGAAAATGGCATGGCATGTACTGGAAAAATTAGAATGATCAGATGTTCCCGCAGTTACATTTGTGGGTACCTACCAAAAAGAATTAGAAGCCAGGAGTGGAAGACAGATTTGTGTACACCCATATTCATAGCAGCATTATTCACAACAGCCAAAATGTGGAAGCAACCCAAGGGTTTGTGGACAGATGAATGAAAAAGCACACTGCAGTTCCTTCATACAATGGAAGACTATTCAGCCTTGAAAAGGCAGACACTTCTGGCCGGTGCGGTGGCTCACGCCTGTAATCGCAGCGTCTTGGAAGACCGAGGTGGACGGATCACCTGAGGTCAGGAATTCAAGACCAGCCTGGCCATCTTGGTGACACCCTGTCTCTACTCAAAATGCAAAAAATGAGATGAGCGTGGTGGTGTGTGCCTATAGTCCCAGCTACTCGGGAGGCTGAGGCACAAGAATCTCTGGAACCCAGGAAGCGGAGGTTGCAGTGAGCCCAGATTGTGCCACTGCACTCCAGCCTGTGCGACAGAGTGAGACTCCATGGAAACACAAAACAAAACAAAGTCAAACGAACAAACAAAAAACAAAAAAAACACAGAGAGGCACTTCTGACGCAGGCGGCAACATGGATGAACCTTGAAGACACTATCGTCAGTGAAATAAATAAATCCCAAAAGGATAAACAGGCCCATGTTCGGTGGCTCGCACCTGTAACTCCAGCACTTTGGGAGGCTGTGCCAGGCGGATCACTTCAGGTCAGGAGTTCGAGACCAGCCTGGCTAATATGATGAAAGCACGTCTCTATTAAAAATACAAAAATTATCTGGGCGTGGTGGCGCACGACTGTAATCCCAGCTACTCGGGAGACTGAGACACAAGAATCGCTTGAACCCACGATGTGGAGGTTGCAGTGAGGTGACATCACGCCACTGCACTCCAGCCTGGGTGACAGAGAAAGACTCTGTCTCCAAAACAAAAAAATTAAACACGGTATGATTCCACTTTTCTATGAAGTGTCTAGAGTAGTGAAACCCATAGAGTTGCAAACTAGAAAGGTGGCCCCCAGGGGTGGGCGAGAGAGAGGAATGGAGAGCTTGGTGAATGGGTAGAATTTCCATTTTGAAAGATAAAACTGTTCCGGAGACGATGGCGGTGATGGTTCTAAACAATGTGAATGTACTTAATGTCATTAAACTGTAAACTGAAAAACAGTGGAAATTGTAAATGTGTATACTGGCCATTCTATATGAACTAATACATATTTACAATTTTTAATATTTATACGTGGTATATTTTCCCATAATAAAAGATGAAAATTAAAGCAGTTGGATGTTTAAAAAGAAAAGAAAGAAGCGAAGAATACACTCCAGCTTTCTCCTGATTAGAGGGAGAGCCCCAATGCTTCTGTGGACGCTCACTTTTCTGTTCTTCTTGCAATATTATGAGGAAATCCTTAGAGGTTGGGGAACTTGGGCGACTTAGGCTAATGAGGAGCTCTGTGCCTTGAGCCCCCAGGCCACAGAATAGTAAATACTCCGTCTGTGCCTCCAGCCCTGCAGTGTGAGGTTGCAGTCCTGTGGGCTCCACTCCCGTCACCTGTATCGGGGGCTCATCTCTCACCCTGTCTTCTTGCCAGCCTTGAGGACAGAGTCTGAGCCTCCATGGTGCACCAAGCAGGTAGGACAGTGGACCTGTTCTCCGTGGTCATGTCCCAGCAGAGAGTAGGGGCAGTTCAGCGAGTGTAGGCAAAAGAAAGAGAGATCAGACTCTTACTGTGTCTATGTAGAAAGGAAAGACATAAGAGACTCCATTTTGAAAAAGACCTGTACTTTCAACAATTGCTTTGCTGAGATGTTGTTAATCTGTAGCTTTGCCCCAGTCACTTTGAACCAACCACTTTGACCCAACATGAAGCTCACAAAAGCATGTGTTGTATGAAATCAAGGTTTAAGGGATCTAGGGGTGCAGGACATGCCTTGTTAACAAGATGTTTCCAAGCAGTAGACTTGGTAAAAGTCATCGCCATTCTCTAGTCTCAATAAACCAGCGGCACAATGCACTGTGGAAAGCCACAGGGAGCCCTGCTCTTGAAAGCAGAGTATTGTCCAAGGTTTCTCCCCATGTGATAGTCTGAAAAGTGGCCTCTTGGGAGGAGAATGACCTGAGCGTCCCCCAGCCCGACCCCCGTAAAGGGTCTGTGCTGAGGTGGATTAGTCAAAGAGGAAAGCCTCTTGCAGTTGAGACAGAGGAAGGCCGCTGTCTCCTGTCTGCCCCTGGGAACTGAATGTCTTGGTATAAAACCCGATTGTACATTTGTTCAATTCTGAGATGGGGGAAAAACCGCCCTATGGTGAGAGGCGAGACATGTTTGCAGCAATGTTGCCTTGTTATTCTTTACTCCACTGAGATGTTTGGGTGGAGAGAAACATAAATCTGGCTTACGTACATGTCCAGTCATAGTACCTTCCCTTGAACTTCCTTATGACAAAGATTCTATTGCTTACATGTTCTTTGCTGACCTTCTCCTTATTATCAGCCTGCCCTCCTGCTACATTCCTTTTTGCTAAAATAATAAAAATAATAATCAATAAAAACTGAGGGAACTCAGAGGCCTGTGCTGATGCAGGTCCTTGGTATGCTGAGTGCTGGTCACCTAGGTCCACTGTTGTTTCTCCATACTTTGTCTCTCTGTCTTATTTCTTTTCTCGGTCTCTCGTCCCACCCGACTAGAAATACCCACAGGTGTGGAGAGGCAGGCCACCCCTTCAAGTGAGTGCTGAGGGACGGTTGGGGGCCTTGTTTGTTTCCTCATCCTCAGGACAAACAAGAGACTGCGGTGGGCAGATGTAAGGAGACCAATGTGCAACTCTCTGCTCAGCAGAGTGTGGAGTTTCTGTTCTTGGTTGTGGTGGGGGTCTCAGAAATCTTATTCAAAATTTTGCTTTCTTCCCCCACTGGTTGTCCTTTTCATAGACATCTCACCCATGATAGCAGGGAATCAGTCCCTCTAAACTATTCCCTAAGAACAACAAAAAGATTATGAAGGTGATGATGAGGATAAAGAGGATGACGACAGACACCATGGCATCATGAACCCTTACTGAGGGCTTCCTGAAGGCCAGGCTCTGAGCTCTGTGCTCTATGCAGCTTGTTTCATTTCATCTGCATAGTCTCCATGTTATTAGCGCACATTTCATGATTATTTTACAGACTAGAAAAGGCGCAACGGATTTTCATGTAGCTTGTACCAAATCACGAAGTCAAAAAAGGTGAAGTCCAATTTGAACCGAGCAGTCTAAGTCCAGACACATGGCATTTGGGCAGTCCTCTCCCTGCAACCAACCTGCCCTCTCAAATTCTAGTCACTCAGGCGGTTGCCCCTGCTCACTGTGCCCCTCCCTTTGGGGGTTCCTTGTAGACCACAGCTAGACCAGTGGGTGCCACAATCACTGTGTCAAGTATGGAAAGGACAGCTGAGATCACATCGAGGATTCCAGAAAGAATTGGCACAGGATCATTCGGGACGCATCTCTCCCTTTCCCCTGTTCCTGGCTTTCTGTACAGCTCTCGACTTCCTCAAAGGAGTCATCAATTCGGAGTTTGGCTTCCATTCCTATTGAGGAAGCTGGAAAGTGTTTCAAAAATGTTCCTCCGAGGTGTCTGTGGTTAAGACCTCTGAGCTCTGCTTAAAACTTCTTGAAGCTGGGCGCGATGGCTCACACGTGTAATCCCAGCCCTTTGGGAAGCTGAGGCAGGCGAATCACAAGGTCAGGAGTTCGAGACCAGCCTGGCCAACATGGTGAAACCCTGTCTGTACTAAAAATACACACACACACCCACACAATTAGCCAGGAATGGTGGCGTATGCCTGTAATCCCAGCTACTGGGGAGGCTGAGACAGGAGACTCCTTTGAAGCCGGGAGACAGAGGTTGCAGTGAACCGAGAACATGCCACTGCACTCCAGCCTGAGCAACAGAGCAAGACTCTGTCTCAAAAAAATAAATAAATAAAAATTATGAAAAAAAGTGATTGGATGGGCTTGGCAAACTTTAGCCATTAGCTCACATACCACTTTGGAAGGGCATACCTTCAGTCACTTCGCCCTTTAATCCCTTTGCTCAAGACTAAAGTTCTGAGAGGAAGTCTAATCGGCTGAGTTGTGTCCATGTGGGCAGTGCAGGAAAGGGTGCAGCGGGAGGCGGCTCCAGGGACGTCTTTGGCTTCCATCATGGGGGAGCAGGCGCCTGGATTATCCACCCTAACAAATCTGGACAAAGGAAAACGATTTTCTCTGAGGAAGGAGACATAGAGCACAAGGAGCTAACCAAGAGACAAATAGTCATCCTGTCTTGTCATTTTCTTTTACACATGTGTGTACATTATCTTACACTTATCGCTTTGTTTTCTTTCTCTCCTTTAATTGCACCCTGCTGCCAAAAGTTAAAATAAAATGAAAGTATTGAGATAGCTCAGTAACTGACTTTTGGTCAATTGCGTTTTCATATAGTGAACAGCTGCCCAAACGATTGTCTCTGTCACTGTGCAAATTTGCAAGCGTTTGCATGATCACTCCCAATCCCCCAACAAAGGGCTGTTTTACAACACAATTTAGTTCAGTGTTTTGCTCTCTGCAACAGGGAGGTTCTCATCCATTACAGGTTGCAGTAAAAACAGGGGTACCATAAGCAACCACCTCTTTCCTCAACGATGTGATGAAAGCAAAAGCCAAGTATCTTCATGTATCCAACGTAAAAATATAAAAAGTTACGCCCGTCGGCTGCAGTTGGAGCTATGGCGGCGGCAGCTGTCACTGGGCCTAGCCCGGGGTGTGGACCTGGGGACTCCCCAGAAGGGCCCGAGGGGGAGGCTCACGGAGCGTCGGCGGAAGGCACACAGGATGTTAAAGCTTTACAACGGCCTCTCGGAAGGGGAGGCGGTGAGACTCCTCGCGGGGACCGACCCCCTGGACCCCACTGATCTGAACGGGGCACACTTCAACCCGGAAGTTTACCTAGACAAGCTGCCTAGAGAGTGCCCTCTGGCCCAGCTGATGGACAGTGAGACGGACATGGTGCAGCAGATCCGGGCTCTAGACAGCGACATGCAAACCCTGGTCTATGAGAACTACGATAAGTTCATCCCCGCCACAGAAATTGACAAACAGCATAAAACTGTATGAGGAATTGCAGGAGACCCAGAATTTACCAAATAACCTTATAAAAGAGAATAAAGTTGGAAGACTCACAAAAAAATACATATATATATGTATATATATATCAAGATGTGTTTTTGTTCAGTTGTAAATGTTTAGTAATTTCTATTGTGATTTTTCATTTAACTCATGAAAAGATATTTTTAATTTTCCAAATGTATGCTTGTGTTTAGCTATCTTCTTGCTGTTGACTTCTAATTTTGTTGCATTATGGTCAGGAAAATGTGGTCTGGACAATGTCAATCGTATAGTGGATTTTGTTGAGACTTCTTTATGGCCTAATATGTGGCCAGTTTTTTTTTTTTTTTTTGCAAATTTGCCACATGTGGTTAAAAGGAATGTGGATTATTTGGGTTTTTTTGGAGAGTTTTTATTTTTAAATAGATAAGGTTTTCAGTGTAATTGAAATCTAGCTTCAATTAACAATATGCTAGATCTCTCAAACCTTAGGATGTTAGTCAGTGTAAGAATAGACTGCTGCTGAGACGAATAAACCCTGAACTCTCAGTGGGTTGACACCCATAGCATAGTCTGGTGCAGGGCAGGGGTTCTCCTTGGGGGCCCTTGTCCAATAGTGATTCAGAGATTCTGGAGGTTTCCATCTTTTAGTCTGCCATCTCAGAGTTTTTCACTTGTAGCCATATGGATAGGAAGAGAGGGAACATAGCTCACACTTGCCTTTGATAACCTTGGCCCAGAAGGGATTTCTTACATTCCTATTGGCGGAAATGCAGTCACATGGTTCCAAACTAACTGCAAGTGAGGCTGGGAAATGTAGTCTTTCTGCATGCCCAGGAAGAGGAATGGTGTGAACATAGCATTGTCTTTGACACACTAAGTATGTGCTAAAGAGTTCTTACTCTTATAGGAGGTTTGTCTGTCCTGTGTAACTTTCTCAGTTTTTGCTTAGATAGTTTCAGGCAATGTTGTTTGGTGCATTCAGCTTGATGATTATTATGTCCTCTTGGCAAAGTAGTCAAGATTCCCATCAGTTTGAATGAAAGTGTTTTACAAATTGGTCAGGAAATGTTAATACTTTAAAAGGCCCTTCTATTCCTCCACTCTACAGATAAGAACAACAGAGTCCTAGAGAGAGGAGATCATGGGTCTCTCTCATGAGTGGCAGAATTGAAACCAACATGGCAGTAACTTTGCCTTCCCCCATCATGTTGTTCTCCCTCTATATTCACTCTGCTGATTTCTTCATTTGCTCCATACAGACCTCCCAGTGCCAAGTGTGTAAGTGTGTCCGGAATTGGTGGGTTCTTGGCCTCACTGACTTCAAGAATGAAGCCGCAGACCCTCCTGGTGAGTGTTACAGTTCTTAAAGGTGGCGTGTCTGGAGTTTGTTCCTTCTGATGTTCGGATGTGTTTGAAGTTTCTTCCTTCTGGTGGGGTTTGTGGTTTCGCTGGTTCAGGAGTGAAGCTGCAGACCTTCATGGAGAGTGTTACTGCTCTTAAGGCTGCACGTCTGGAGTTGTTCATTTCTCCTGGTGGGTTCATGGTCTCGCTGGCTTCAGGAGTGAAGCTGCAGACCTTCTCGGTGTTACAGCTCATAAAGGCAGTGTGGACCCAAAGAGTGAGCAGCAAGAAGATTTATTGCAAAGAGCAAAAGAACAAAGCTTCCACAGTGTGGAAGGGGACTCCAGCAGGTTGCCACTGCTGGCTCGGGCAGCCTGCTTTTATTCTCTTACCTGGCCCCACCCACATCCTGCTGATTGGTCCATTTTACAGAGAGCCTGAGTGGTCTGTTTTGACAGGACACTGATTGGTGCGTTTACAATCCCTGAGCTAGACACAATGGCTCCCCACGTCCCCACTAGATTAGCTAGATACAGAGTGTCCACACAAAGGTTCTCCAAGTCCCCACCATAATGGCTAGATACAGAGTGTTGATTGTTGCATTCACAAACCCTGAGCTAGACACAGGGTGCTGATTGTTGTGTTTACAAACCTTGAGCTAGATACAGAGTGCCGATTGGTGTATTTATAATCCCTTAGCTAGACATAAAGGTTCTACAAGTCCCCAGCAGACTCAGGAGCACAGCTGGCTTCACCCAGTGGATCCCGCACAGGAGCTGCAGGTGGAGCTGCCGGCCAGTCCCTCTCCGTGTGCCCACACTCTTCATCCCTTGGGTGGTCGATGGGACTGGGTGCCATGGAGCAGGGGGCGGTGCTCGTCGGGGAGGCTCGGGCCGCACAGGAGCCCACGGAGGGGGGAGGCTAAGGAATGGCGGGCTGCAGGTCCCGAGCCCTGCCCCGCGGGGAGGCAGCTAAGGCCCGGCGAGAAGTCGAGCACAGCAGCTGCTGGCCCAGGTGCCAAGCCCCTCACTGCCCGGGCTGGCCAGGCTGGCCGGCAGATCCTAGTGCGGGGCTGCCAAGCCCACGCCCACCCGGAACTCCAGCCGGCAGGCAAGTAGCGCGCATAGCCCCGGTTCCGGCTCACGTCTCTCTCTCCACACCTCCCTGCGAGCTGAGGGAGCCAGCTCCGACCTTGGCCAGCCCAGAAAGGGGCTCCCACCGTGCAGCTGCGGGCTGAAGGGCTCCTCAAGTGCCGCCAAAGTGGGAGCCCAGGTAGAGGAGGCATCGAGAGCGAACGAGGGCTGTGAGGGCTGCCAGCATGCTGTCACCTCTCATAAGGAGTGATTAATCTGAGCTTCTCCAGAAAGTCCATTCCTGGTAGGCACTGGGAATAAGAAATCTCAGAGTATAAAAAAACATCAACTGGTAGTACTTTTGTGAATGGCTCCCAAATTAGATCCTTTACTTTTTTTTTTCATGAAGCACAGTTGCCCAAAACACGCTTAGCCTGAGATGAAGCGCATATTAGAGAAAGTTTCTCTCTATAGCATTATGTATTACTCGAATGAGCATTAAAAAGAGGAGACGGGACATGCTCTCTCTAGCTATTATTACCTCCACTATAGAGTTGACATACACAAGCTCATTATTGCATTATGTTTTATTCAACAAAATAATGTTGAAGCTTATATTGAATTCTCTAAAACATCTTTGTCTCCAGCATAGTGTGCCTCAAGTGTCTCCTTGGTGCCTGAATTTTCTCCAGAATTATAGTGCTGAAGCTATGGAAATGGTGAAATTATATGCAATCTGCAAAACAATGTGGCTATAACGTGGTAATTGGCCTTCCACATAATTAAAGGAACATTTCCTCATCAGAGCTGTTCCATCAGAGACCCAAAGGCTATCGTTATACAAATCACCCACTTAGGAAAACCTTTATTCCCAGTAGCCTATAAAAATCTGGTTATGCAAACAGATTTGCTTATTCAGTAACATTAATGGCTTCTCATAGTTAAAAAGTCATCAATGTGATTGACCTATAATCTGTTTCCTCTGTGACCAAGTGTCATTTTTATTTTGACAGTTAGGAGCCTTTTGACTCTTTCACAGCTGGCATGAAGGTACAGGGAGGGAAATCTCAAAAACCAACAACCTGTGTATTCCCAGCCTATTAATCAATAGAAAATCACTTCAACTGGATTAGGGTCTTGTACCTGGCAGAAAGGCTGTTATGGACATTGGAATTGGATTTTTACACTAGATATGTCACCTCTTTGCGTCAGATCACATTCGTTTTTGATAGACTCTTGCCGAAAAATTGCTCCAGGGTCTGTGCAGTAGCTAAAGCCTTTTTGTTGTTGTTGTTGTTTTAAAAGCAGCATTCAATGTTTTCATGAAGACCTTCCCCGCAGTGATTTCATTGGGAATATGGTCTTTAGCTCTGGTCCTGAATAACTCACACTGAGGAAACCTCTAACAAGTGTTTTATTGGAAGATGTCTGATGGATGGTTGGTTTTAATAACGAATCTCTTCCCTTTTTCTGTCCTCTGTGTTCTATTCTCCTTTCTCTACACATTATTCTGGGAGGATTCACCTATTCCCAAAGTCCTTTCCTCTTTATTTCCATTCCAGAGCTCTCTGTATAACTCCAGGCTGATGAATCCAACGGCCCAGTTGTTATCTCCACTTGGCTGTCTTTCTTGCATTGACCTCATCTTACCTTGCCTCTCCTGATTTCCTCTTCTGCCTGGGCTCACCACTTCAGATTCACACCACCATCCACCCAGCTTCCAAAACACCTGGGCCTCCTCCTTCATTCCTCCCTCTTTCTCAGTCAAGTTAGTCTACTGTCTCCTCTCCATCCTCACTGCCACAGCCTTGGTCCAGCCAACCATCTTGTCTCACTTGGCGTATTGCAGCCTCCTACCTGGTCTACTCACCTCCCACTCTCCTCCAGCCAGACTGCTCTTTTTATAGCACAAAGTGGATCATTACTCCCCTGCCTAAAAACATCTACTGTCTCCCTTTGTCTACAGGATAAACACGACAAAGAGCCTTTAAGATTTGGCTCCAACTTACCTCTATATTAGTCACTTTTTAGAATTATATGAACATCTCTCAGCTCCTCACCCTCTCACGTCTTGATTTTTGCACGTGCTCTTCCCTCTGCTGGGAATGATCTTCCACACCTCTCCTATCGACCTGGCTAATTCCTACCATTTTCTAGTCTTCAACTGAGGAGTCCTGTGGTGGAGAAAGATTTCTCACCACCTGATAGAGATTGCATGTCCACCCACCTCCGGACTTTTATTTATTTATTTATTTATTTATTTTTTTGACGGAGTTTCGCTCTGACCATGCAGACTGGAGTGCAGTGGCGCGATCTTGGCTCACTGCAATCTCCGCCTCCCGGGCTCAAGCAATTCTCCCACCTCAGCCTTCTGAGTATCTGGAATTACGGGTGCCCACCACCACATCTGGCTAATTTTTTTTGTATTTTTAGTAAAGACAGGATTTCACCATGTTGGCCAGGCTGTTTTCGAACTCCTGGCCTCAAGTGATCCACCCACCTTGGCCTCCCAAAGTGCTGGGATTACAGGCAAGAACAACTGCACCTAGCCAATCGGGTGCCCCTTCTATTTGCTCCCATTGCCCCAGGCATACTGTCACCATAACTCTTACCATTCTGAGTTGAAAATGATTTTTTTTCTTTTTATTTCTCTCATTAAATGCAAAGCTCATTGAAAAGAGGACAGTGGTTGTTCACTGTTGTACTCCTAACCTTTGACTCAGTGTCCTGAGGTTGGCTTTAGAGCTGTGCACACATGTTCAGACATTGGAGCACATCTTATCTAGCACCTCTTTTGAGGTGGCTTAGAGAAAAGTCAGTAGGTACTTCCCCAAGAATGAAACAGAAGCTTCACCTAAATCAGTTCTTCAACTTCAGCCTGCATTAGACTCCTCTGAGAGCTTATTAAAAATACAGTCTCCTAGAGCCCACTCTTCAAGAGTCGGTGAGTTGCTTCATCATCAAAATATGTACAGAATTCAGGCAGTCTTCAGCGCCAGCCTGGTCTGAGCCACTGTGGACTCCCACCTGCAGAATCTCCCTGCTGGTCTCCTTGCTTCTGCTGTTACCTTCTTATTACCCATTCAAGTAGCCAGGGTGATCCTTTAAAAATTTTTTTTAAATTTGTTTGAGATGAAGTCTCACTCTGTTGCCCAGGCTGGAGTGCAGTGGTGCTATCTCAGCTCGCTGCAGCTCTACCTCCTAGGCTCAAGCCATCCTCCCACCTCAGCCTCCTGGGTAACTGGGACCACAGACATACACCACCGCACCCGGCTAATTTTTGTATTTTTTGTAAAGTCACGGTCTTGCTATTTTGCACAGGCTAGTCTTGAACTTCTGTGTGCACCCACCTCAGCCTCCTGCATTTTTAGGAGGCCCCTCTTGTACAGATTTTGATGCAGAGGGCTGGGTGCCTCATGTCTCCTCCCATCTCCCTCTGTCTTTCTGTCTCTGTCTCTGTCTATCTCTCTCTCTTTCTCTTTGCCTTATAGCTGCCCTGGGGACTAGACTCTGCCTTAGGCATCCCTCTGACTCTTGTTTGCTTTTACACTGAGTCTCCTTTAAGTTGCACATTGATCTGAAGCCTTGGGCTTCTGTTCCTATTCCTCGCTTTTGTTGGAAGGGCCGTGCAGCTTCTTGACAAATTGCAAAGGTGCCCACGAGTTTCCAAGTCCCCAAGAACCAAACCAGATGACAAACAAAGATGCAGCCCACAGCTGGGGAGACAGATTTCATGTCCACACAGAGACTCCAAGATGCTGAACTGAAATCCACCCTGGAACCTGTTTTCTCTCTCATTTAAGTTCAATGTCACCTGGGGGATTGCAGGGCAGGGCTGGTTACCATTCACAGGGCAAAGATGCTTTGAAATGGCAACTGAGAATGGTGTGGTGGTTGACAGATGGCACGTCACAGCATAGATTAATATGGAAAGAGAAACTCACCCCTTGGGGGGAATGTGTGAGGCTGGCAGCCACACAGAGGGCTTTTCCTGCGAGCTCTTGCACAGATGCAAACAGCCAGGAGGTTTTGCTTTCTGAGCCTGAGTGGAAGCATTTTCCTCCCTGCACATTGCCACTCTGCAGCAAATGTTTATTCCTGTTGCATTGATTAAAAGTGCTTACCAGGCCGGGCGCGGTGGCTCACGCCTCTAATCCCAGCACTTTGGGAGGCCGAGGCAGGCAGATCACAAGGTCAGGAGATCGAGACCATCCTGGTTAACACGGTGAAACCCCGTCTCCACTAAAAATACAAAAAATTAGCCGGGCATGGTGGCGGGCGCCTGTATTCCCAGCTACTTGGGAGGCTGAGGCAGGAGAATGGCATGAACCCAGGAGGCAGGGCTTGCAGTGAGCCGAGATTGTGCCACTGCACTCCAGCCTGGATGACAGAGCAAGACTCCGTCTCAAAAAAACAAAGTACTTACTGAAGGGGTTTGAGGGCAGTGGTGACAGTGTGAGTTATGGCTTTGCCGGCTGCCAGTGGAGCCATCCGCTCTGCACAGCCGTGCAAGGGTGTTTTGAAAAGTGGCTCAGCCGGCCAGGAGTGACTGGGTGTAAATATTGCTGCCACAACATCTTGTAGCCTGACTGGGGCCGTGTTTGCAGAACCCCTAAACCACTACACTTGTTCAGGCTTAAAAATAAGCTTAGTTTTTTTTTGTTTGTTTTGTTTTGTTTTGTTTTATGAGATGGAGTCTTGTTCTATCAACGGGTTGGAATGCAGTGGCATGATCTCGGCCCTGTGCAACCTCTGCCTCCTGCGTTCAAGTGATTCTCCTGCCTCAGGCTCCCGAGTAGCTAGAACTACAGGGGTGTGCCATCATGGCCAGCTAATTTTTGAATTTTTAGTACAGACGGGGCTTCACCATGTTGGCCAGGATGGTGCTATCTCTTGACCTCGTGATCTGCCCGCCTTGGCTTCCCAAAGTGCTAGGATTACAGGCGTGAGCCACTGTGCCTGGTCAAACATAAACTTACTTTCTTACCTCTTCTGCTGAACTCTATTTGCTTCTTTTCTCAACTTCTGCTGAACTCTATTTTGCTTCTTTTTTTCTGGATAAAGCTCTTCTTTATCCAGAAGAGCTTTTAGCAACAAAGTTAACCAATGCCCTTCCCTAGTCTCTCCTTGCAACTGGCTCTCAGCGGGGGGGTGGGGGGGTTAGGAGGAAATCCTTGACAGAACCAATTTACATGACTGTTTGGAGGACTCTCGCTAGCTCCAGGAGGTGTTTGCATTTTTAAATTGGTTACTAGTGTCAGAATGTTTCATGAGTAAGAGCACAGCCTCTAAGTTGGATACCCTGAATTTAAATCTCAACATAGACATTTTGTATATAACCAGAGGATGGATTTGGGGACCGAATGGACCTACCATGACATGAACTTGCACCAACATTCACCTGACTTCCAAAATGTCTTTTCTGACTGGTAGACCCTAGTCTCGCCCTAGTGCCAGTTCAGAGCCTGTGTCCAGTGATCCTGCACAGGTCCCATTAGTTCCTTTTCTACTATTCAGTCATCCTGGTAAAAGGCTGTGTATTCCCTTGGGGGCAGGCTGGGAGAAAGATTGATAGTATTAATTTGTGGCATTGGAGCAGAGTCCTTTCTGGAGGGGACCTGGCTTCCCATTCAGACAAGGGACTCCGGGTCTGTGAACTGGCTTATGTCTGGGAATTGACTGGGGACTGTGACTCTGTTTTTATGATTCAGATTAGACTTCTGCTCACCTGACCTAGAACTCTTCTGCAAACACAGATCCAGTAAAAATGTGGCAGGCTTCTTATCTATTTCACTTCTAGGAATGCCATGATCAGCTGGCACCATATGTCTCTGCGAGTCAGGCTATTCTGGCTGCAGCTTTGACTCTGCTGTCTTTTATGGTAACTTCATCCACCTTGCCTTTGGGGATTGAGTGCTCTGATCACTTGGCCCCAGCCTCTGTAGTGTGCCTATGTCACTTACCCTCTTTATACCTCAGTTTCCTTCTCTATAAAATGGGCATCCTCATTGCACCTACCCCCAGGGCTGCTGTGAGGTATAGATGGATTAGCATATGGAAAGTAATAGAAGAGGGACTCAAAGCCCATGTGTTCTTATCAGAATTATTTCGTGACAGGGGAGAGCTGGAGGAGAGAGGAAGGTGCTGAGCAGACCCATGTGCTCCCCCACCAGTGATTCCTGAGCACCTACTATGTGCTGCCCACTGTGAGAGCTGTTAGGGTTGAAATAGGGAGCACAGCAGGGTAGGGGCTGCAATCAGGAGCTTAGTGGGGAGACCATTCTGTAACATGTTTCCAGAGCTTGGGGTGGGGAAGCTCAGGGAGTACAGGGACCTAGGATCCTGGGCAGAATCATGGAAAGGACACAGCCTCCCCAGCCTCTCCTGCCTCCACTGCCTCCCTGGCCTCCTCTGCTTCCCTGGCCTCTCCTGCCTTCCTGGCTTCCCCTTCCACCCCGGCCCTCCCCAGTCTCCCCTGTCTCTCCTGCTTTTGAGGTGGGCCAGGAGATGCTGGTGCTCACTTAGCCTGTCCTGGACTCTGGGTGTAGCATTTCGATGTCCAGAAAATACCCCCGGGTTCAGCTCATCACACAACCAAGGAAGGAGCTCCACACTGACACTAAGGGTGCATCCTGGGCTCATTCATCAGGGCATGCCTCCAAAATATTTCTCCACGTCTCCTCCCTTTGCCCACCTGCATTGTCTCTGTGCCTCAGCCCTGGCTGGGGGCCTGCAAGGATCCCCTATCTCCTCTGCCCCTGCACAGCTGGGTCCCAGGCAATCTGTCCCCCCACCACACCTCTCTCACCTTGCCCACCATGCTCCAGCCCCACAGTCCTCTTTCTGCTTCTTTCCCAGCCTCTGGGCTTTTGCACACGCTGTTCCTTCTGCCTGAACACCCTCCACTGGGCTGAGAACAACTCTCTGAGACCTCTCTCAGCTGTTGTTTCCTTTGGAATAGCCGCTGCTGCTGGCCCTCTCCCAGCTCCAAGACCTGCTGAGCCTCCTGTCTTTTTTAGTTCCCATGCCCCCAGCACTTCTTCTTGGCCTCCTTTTGCCCAATTGACAATGTCCATTCTCAATGCCTTCTCACCCAGCACTGAGCCCCACTGGGTGAAGGCAACGCCTGTCATGTTCACCACAATATCCCCTCCCCCATCATCACGCCTGGTCCACAGAGATGCTCAAAAAAGATCTGTTGGTAGGCAATGCGAAGGTGCATTCATGTCATCCTGCAGGCGGAATTCTCCACGAGTTTTGAGCAGCCTCAGTTTTCCCACCACCTCCAAATCATGGAAGACGCAGGGTAAGAGCAAAGACAAGGTGGCTGTGGCCGATGTCCACCCTCTCAGGGCGTCCCTTCTCTTCTCTCCTCCTTGGGCAGGGAGACCATCGGGGTGCAACCTGGCTGGGGCGGGGAGGAGGTGCAGGGCCTGGCCAGAGCGGGCCTGGCCACGGGCAAGGGACAGCGACCTCCTGGGCCAGGACAGGTGAGCGCAGCGCAGGCCCGGGCCCGGCGTGTCCGCGGTGCGCGTGAGCGGCCAGCAGAGAGCCAGGAGCGGCCCGCGGAGGAGCCCGATGCCCAGCTCCGCGCCGCGCGGACCCACCGAGCCCGCGCTCAGACGCCCCAGCTCCGCTGACAGGCCGCTCGCGCCGGGTCCTTCCTCTTCTCCAAGTGCAGGCAGAGCCCCCGGAGACGTGGCCAGCCCTTCCGGCAGCTCTGAAGCCACTGGCAAGCCCCGAGGCAGGGATGGCGGGCCCAGGAGGGAGGAGGAGGACGTCTCTCCCGAAGAAAAGAGGCTGCGGCTCTTGCTGGAGGGGGGAAGCGCACAGCCCGAGGACTGCGAGGACGGGGAGGACGCGCCGAGGCCGGGCAGGGAGGAGACCGGCACCCAGACAGGTGGCGACGGCAGAGGAGTAAGTGACGCGGGCGCGGGGGACCCGGGGTGCCGGGGGAGCGGGGGTGCCAGCGACGCGTGGTAGGGGCGGCGGGAGGCTCCGTGGCCGGCCCCGGGTTGAAGTTGGGAGGGCGGCCTTCATTCTGAACCCATTTAGGCAGCACGGGCAGCCCTTCTCGCCGTGGGCTGCATCAGAGCACCCCTGCCCAGTCTTGGGGTTGCTCCCGGATGCTGTCTGGGAGGCTTGCTCATGGTGACATCCTCATCTCCCCATGCACGTTACTGCATTCAGAGCTTGGGTCACCTCGACACTGAACTCAGGTGAATTCTCTCTGAGATCCCGGGAGAAGGAGGACAGTTCTCAGGAAGGTTTTCCAGGGCCGATCACGGAAAGGATGAGAAGGCAGAGGTCCCGATCGGGGACACAATTACGGTGGCAGTGTAACACCAGGAAACTTTATTCCGTGAAGTCCCTCTCACTCCCTCTACCTCCTTCTTTTATGTGGAATCTGCCAAAGACCAGGATACCAGAATGCAGTGGAGTGACCAAACGTAGTGGGACCTTGGGAACGCGAGTCTGAAGCCAGGCGGCTGGGGTTTGCATCCTGGTTCTGCCCCTCCTTAGCTGGCTGACATGGCACAAGCCACTTACCCTCTCTGAGCCTTACTGTCTTCAGTGGCAAATGGATCTGTCAACAGGCCCCATTGCCTGGGGTTGTTACTGCTGAGATTAAGGGAAGCTTGTCCATAGAAGCACTTAGCGTTGTGCCTGGCACATAGTGTATGGTGGATAAATGGGACTTAGGACTAAAACTCATGCCTTGGTGTGTTTTTGCAGTGATGTTTTGTTCTGGGGTGCATCACAAGAGACAAGGTTCTTGGCTCGGCATGGTGGCTCAAGCCAATAATCTCAGCACTTTGAGAGGCTGAAAGGGGAGGATCGCTTGAGCCCAGGAGTTTAAGACCAGCCTGGACAACGTGGTGAAGCCTCATATCAACCAAAAATAAAAAAATAAAAAATAAAGCCAGGCATGGTGGTGTGTGCCTGTAGTCCCAAGTACTTTGGAGGCTGAGGTGGGAGGATTGCTACAGCCTGGAAGGTCGGGCTGCAGTGAGCTGGGATCTTGCCACTGCACTCCAGCCTGTGTGACAAAGTGAGACTCTGTTTCAAGGAAAAGAGAGAGAGACAGACAGACAGACCCACAAGAGTCTTAAGCCAGAATCTTCATGTTAAAATGCTTTCTGGAGGCTAAAAGGATGATATGTTGATAATGAAATATTTAAAAGGCAGAAACCCCACTGAATTCTTTGGTCCACAGAGGGAAATGGGAATCGCATGACCTGAAGGATGATGGAGGAACTGAACAGAAACCATCCTTGTTTCCTGAATCTGAATATGGCACCCTCTTTTCACGGTGTCTGTATATGCTCAGTCCGGCGGCCCCTCAAAAAGAGGGAATCTGGATTTTCAAACTTAAAATTTGGCCCAAAGCCCACTGCTGCCCACAATGGCCGCCAGACACATTCCTCTTCCCTTTTAGTTTCTATGGGAATACTCTCTTTGAAGAACCCATGAAGCAGTGTCAGGCTGGTGTGAGGACCAGCAGTGATTTCTTTGAGGAGGAGAGCCCGTTTCTTCACTCACAGGCCATGTCTGAGTGGATCAAGAAGAACAGAGTGCCCTTTTATGAGATTTTGTCTGCGTAGACCATTAGCTTGGTAAAAATGTCAAAACCATCCTCGTTCTTTAATAGCAGATTATTTTGGACTTTTCTCTGCAAGAAGCAGCATAGGCATTCAGATGCTTTTAAGGATAAAATGTTCTTTCTCATCACCAGGCCTGGTGCTCTGGATGGCTGAGGTTTTACTGTGACTTGGTGTCCCTTGGAGTGGCTCCCAGGCTGTGCTCTTGTGGTTGGGTGGCAAGGGGTTGCTTTATTCGGTGGTGACTAGAGGACGTTTTAGCAGATAAATCGGGACCCCAGGAGCCCCTGAGTGCCAAGTCCTGCTGCAGGGCATGTGTTTATGTTGGGGATGTGGGGGGGTGGAGGGTGGGGGACATTGATTTCCTGCCAATATCAGAAGTTTCACAGGCTTCTTGTGTATCCACAAACACCCATCCCATTGAGAAGGCCTAGAAAACCTGGCCCTCGCCAAGCCTTTATTGACCGCTTGTGAATGATCCCAGGGTGTGTCTGACCCACAGCTCCTCCTGGAGGGAGAGAAAAGTCTCTCCTAGGTATTTGGTTATCAACCTCAACCATTTGCTGAGCCTTCCCCAAGACCAGGCATCTTGGCAGAGATTTCTGGGTCGTCAGGCAGAACCGAGCATTCAAGGGTGATAACTCACTGGAGTCCCTGAAATCCCTGATGGACGCACCAGGTAAAAGCATCCAGGGTTGAAACCAGATCAGGAAGGTTATTGTCAGCCTGGGGTGCCTGTAGAGGTGCATCCACGTTGCAGGTATTTTCCCTTCTTGCTGAGGAGAAACCTGGGTTTCTCAGCTTTGGCACAGTCACAACACTTGGGGTCAGACCATTCGTGGTGGTGGTGAGTGGGGGGCGTCCTGTGTATTGTAGGATGGTTAGCAGCATCTCTGGTCTCCATCCTCTAGGTGCCATTCTACCCTCCCAGCTATGGCTACCCCAGATGTCTCCAGATGCTTTCAAATGCTGTGGGGCAAGGGAGTGGTACGTGAGCAAAACTACCCCAGTTGAGAGCCATTGGTCTACACTTGTGGAAATGTTTGAGGGTGAGAGTGTTGAGCTCGGGTCCCTGCTGTACCCTTTATGAGCAATGCAGTCTTGGAAAATTAATAGGACTCCAGGGGCCTCAGTTTTCTCTCTATAAAATGGAGATAAATGAGATACACTTTCATAGGAAGGTTATATGGGATTTACTGAGATAATAAGACAGTACATGGAAAATATTGGGGATACCATTTATTTATTTTTATTTTTTTTAAGACAGAGTCTTACTCTATTGCCCAGGCTGGGGTGCAGTGGCATGATCTCCGCTCACTGCAACCTCCACCTCCTGGGCTCAAGTGATTCTCCTGCTTCAGGCTCCCGAGTAACTGGGACTACAGGCATGCGCCATCATGCCCACCTAATTTTTGAATTTTTAGTACAGACGTGGCTTCACCATGTTGGCCAGGATAGTCCGATCTCTTGACTTCGTGATCTGCCCGCCTCGGCCTTCCCAAGTGCTGGTATCACAGGCGTGAGCCACCGTGCCTGGCCAAACATAAACTTACTTTCTTACCTCTTCTGATGAACTCTATTTGCTTCTTTTCCCAAATGTCTTTATCCAGAAGAGCTTTTAGCAACAAAGTTACCCAATGCCCTTCCCTAGTCTCTCCTTGCAACTGGCTCTCAGCAGGGGGTGGGAGGAAATCCTTGACAGAACCAATTTACATGACTGTTTGGAGGACTCTGGCTAGCCCCAGGAGGTGTTTGCATTTTTAAATTGGTTACTAGTGTCAGAATGTTTCATGAGTAAGAGCCCAGCCTCTATGTTGGAGGCCCTGAATTTGAATCTCAGCATTGCCGCTTTGTATATAACCAGAGGATGGATTTGGGGACCCAATGGATCTACCATGACATGAACTTGCACCAACATTCACCTGACCTCCAAAATGCCTATTCTGACTGGTAGACCCTAGTCTCATCGTAGTGCCAGTTCAGAGCCTGTGTCCAGTGATCCTGCACAGGTCTCATTAGTTCCTTTTCTCCTGTTTAGTCATCCTGGTAAAAGGCTGTGTATTCCCTTGGGGGCAGGCTGGGAGAAAGATTGATAGTATAAATTTTTGGCAGTGGAGCAGAGTCCTTTCTGGAGGCGACCTGGCTTCCCATTCAGACAAGGGACTTCGGGTATGTGAACTGGCTTATGTCTGGAAATTGACGGGAGACTGTGACTCTGTTTTTATGATTCACATTAGACTTCTGCTCACCTGACCTAGAACTCTTCTGCAAACACAGATCCAGTAAAAATGTGGCAGGCTTCTTATCTATTTCACTTCTAGGAAAGCCACGATCAGCTGGCACCATATGTCTCTGCGAGTCAGGCTATTCTGGCTGCAGCTTTGACTCTGCTGTCTTTTACGGTAACTGCATCCACCTTGCCTTTGGGGATTGAGTGCTCTGATCACTTGGCCCCAGCCCCTGTAGTGTGCCTATGTCACTTACCCTCTTTATACCTCAGTCTCCTCCTCTGTAAAATGGGCATCCTAATAGCACCCACCCCCAGGGCTGCTGTGAGGTATAGATGGATTAGCATATGGAAAGTAATCGAAGAGGATCTCAAAGTCCATGTGTCGTTATCAGAATTATTTCATGATGGGGAGAGCTGGAGGAGAGAAGAAGGTGCTGAGCAGACCCATGTGCTCTCCCATCAGTGTTTCCTGAGCACCTTCTATGTGCTGCCCACTGTGAGAGCTGTTAGGGTTGAAATAGGGAGCACAGCAGGGTAGGGGCTGCCATCAGGAGCTTAGTGAGGAGACCATTGTGCAACATGGTTCCAACACTTGGGGTGGGGAAGCTCAGGGAGTACAGGGGCCTAGGATCCTGGGCAGAATCATGGAAAGGACACAGCCTCCCCAGCCTCTCCTGCCTCCACTGCCTCCCTGGCCTCCTCTACTTCTCTGGCCTCTCCTGCCTTCCTGGCTTCCCCTTCCGCCCTGGCCTCCCCAGTCTCCCCTGTCTCTCCTGCTTTTGAGGTAGTCCAGGAGCTGCTGGTGCTCACTTAACCTGTCTTGGACTCTTGGTGTAGCACCTCAGTGTCCAGAAAATACCCCCGAGTTCAGCACATCACACAGCCAAGGAAGGAGCTCCACACTGACACTAAGGGTGCATCCTAGGCTCATTCATCAGGGCATGCCTCCAAAATATTTCTCCACGTCTCCTCCCTTTGCCCACCTGCATTGTCTCTGTGCCTCAGCCCTGGCTGGGGACCTGCAAGGATCCCCTATCTCCTCTGCCCCTGCACGGCTGGGTCCCAGGTAATCTGTCTGCCCACCATACCTTTCTCCTCTTGCCCACCACGCTCCAGCCCCACAGTCCTCTTTCTGCTTCTTTCCCAGCCTCTGGGCTTTTGCACACACTGTCCCTTCTGCCTGAACACCCTCCACTGGGCTGAGAACAACTCTCTGAGACCTCTCTCAGCTGTTGTTTCCTTTGGAACAGCCACTGCTGCTGGCCCTCTCCCAGCTCCAAGACCTGCTGAGCCTCCTGTCTTTTTCAGTTCCCATGCACCCAGCACTTCTTCTTGGCCTCCTTTTGCCCAATTGACAATGTCCATTCTCAATGCCTTCTCACCCAGCACTGAGCCCCACTGGGTGAAGGCAATGCCTGTCATGTCCACCACAATATCCCCTCCCCCATCACCACACCTGGTCCACAGAGATGCTCAAAAAAGATCTGTTGGTAGGCAATGCGAAGGTGCATTCATGTCATCCTGCAGGCAGAATTCTCCACGAGTTTTGAGCAGCCTCGGTTTTCCCACCACCTCCAAATCATGGAAGACACAGGGTAAGAGCAAAGACAAGGTGGCTGTGGCCGATGTCCACCCTCTCGGGGCGTCCCTTCTCTTCTCTCCTCCTTGGGCAGGGAGACCATCGGGGTGCAACCTGGCTGGGGCGGGGAGGAGGTGCAGGGCCTGGCCAGAGCGGGCCTGGCCACAGGCAGGGGACAGCGACTGCTTGGGCCTGGGCAGGTGAGCGCAGCGCAGGCCAGGGCCCGGCGTGTCCGCGGTGCGCGCGGGCAGCCAGCAGAGGGCGCCAGAGAGCCAGGAGCGGCCCGCGGAGGAGTCCGCGCCCGCCCTGATGCCCAGCTCCGCGCCGCGCGGACCCACCGAGCCCGCGTTCAGACGCCCCAGCTCCGCCGACAGGCCGCTCGCGCCGGGTCCTTCCTCTTCCCCAGGTGCAGGCAGAGCCCCCAGAGCCATGGCCAGCCCTTCCGGCAGCTCCGAAGCCACTGGCAAGCCCCGAGGCAGGGATGGCGGGCCCAGGAGGGAGGAGGACGACGTCCCTCCCGAAGAGAAGAGGCTGCGGCTGTTGCTGGAGAGGGGAAGCGCACAGCCCGAGGACTGCGAGGACGGGGAGGACGCGCCGCGGCCCGGCAGGGAGGTGACCGGCACCCAGACAGGTGGCGACGGCAGAGGAGTAAGTGACGTTGGCGCGGGGGTCCGGGGGTGCCAGGGGCGCGGGGTAGGGGAGGCGGGAGGCTCCGTGGCCGGCCCTGGGTTAAAGTTGGTAATTGAGCGGCAACTCCGGCGGGCGCGGAGTGACAGCTCGTGACGGCCTCCGAGACGCCAGCTGCCCCTTCTCGGCTGTGTGGCTTCGACTTCCTGATTCTCCCACGACGTCCCTGGCCGGGAGACCCGCTGGACTCTGCGGCTGGCCAAAAGGGGAGGGGGAGCCCCGCGTCCTGGGGGTCCCTAGCGGAAAGGGCGGGGGTTGCGCTGGGCATCCTGTCTGGGGCATCTGTCTGGGACTCTGTTGGTGCCTCTCACCTGGCGAGGGGCCTGTGGTGTGGGTAGGGGGGAAGTCCCTGCCATGCTTGGCCAAGCCCTACTCTGCTGGGCTGCGGGCTGGCGGCGCTCACCCAGCTCCTCACCTGTCCCTCATCTTCCTGTTTTTCTTCCCTTTCTGGTTGGGCAGCGAGAGTTGAGAGAAGGCAGATGGCTTCCATCCCAGAAATCGCTCTCCTCTTTCCATCCCTACAGAGAGGGACAGAGAGGCAAAGTTCCTTCCATCCCCCGGGGCGCTGTCCCTGTGAGCTCCCGGTGTCCTGCACACGTGGGCCCCTGAGTCACTGGGCCTGTGTGTGTGGGATGGGGCTCCGTGGCCAGCCTGTCCTCCTGGGGTTCACTTTCTGCTTTCCTACGCCAACTCTTCCTGTGTGGCTTTGCTGGCCTTCCACTGAGGAGGCACATGGGTTTGGAGGGCAGATGAGGTCCCACTGGAGAGCTGTAACCCTCAGTGAGGGCCGCCACCTTGACGGTTTTTGATGGATAATGGGGTTGACCTTTTTGTTCCTTCCACATGTTTTTATGTTTGACCATTTGCTCAGCTGAACTTGTCTTAATAATTGGATTCGTGGTGAATGAGCCCCACATGGGCGAGAGGGTGGCCTTCATTCTGAACCCATTTAGGCAGCACGGGCGGCCCTCCTCGCCGTGGGCGGCATCAGAGCCCCCCCCGCACAGTCTTGGGGTTGCTCCCGGATGCTGTCTGGGAGGCTTGCTCATGGTGACATCCTCATCTCTCCGTGCACGTTACCGCATTCAGAGCTTGGGTCACCTGGACACTGAACTCAGGTGAATTCTCTCTGAGATCCTGGGAGAAGGAGGATAGTTCTGTGGAAGGTTTTCCAGGGCCGATCACGGAAAGGATGAGAAGGGAGAGGTCCTGGTCGGGACACAATTACGGTGGCAGTGTAACGCCGGGACACTTTATTGCATGAAGTCCCTCTCACTCCCTCTACCTCCTTCTTTTACGTGGACTCTGCCAAAGACCAGGATACCAGAATGCAGTGGAGTGACCAAGTGTAGTGGGACCTTGGAAACCCAAGTCTGGAGCCAGGCGGCTGGGGTTTGCATCCTGGTTCTGCCCTTCCTTAGCTGGCTGACATGGCACAAGCCACTTACCCTCTCTGAGCCTTACTGTCTTCAGTGGCAAATGGATCTGTCAACAGGCCCCATTGCCTGGGGTTGTTACTGCTGAGATTAAGGGAAGCTCGTCCATAGAAGCACTTAGCCTTGTGCCTGGTACATAGTGTATGGTGGATAAATGGGACTTAGAACTAAAACTCATGCCTTGGTGTGTTTTTGCAGTGATGTTTTGTTCTGGGGTGCATCAAAAGAGACAAGGTTCTTGGCTGGGCATGATGGCTCAAGCCAATAATCCCAGCACTTTGAGAGGCTGAAAGGGGAGGATCACTTGTGCCCAGGAGTTTAAGACCAGCTGGGCAACATGGTGAAGCCTCATATCTACCCCAAAAAAAAAAAAAAGCCAGTTATAGTGGTGTGTGCCTGTAGTCCCAAGTACTTTGGAGGCTGAGATGGGAAGATTGCTACAGCCTGGAAGGTTGGGCTGCAGTGAACTGGGATCTTGCCACTGCACTCCAGCGTAGGTCACAAAGTGAGACTGTTTCAAGGAAAAGAGAGACAGACAGACCCACAAGAGTCTTAAGCCAGAATCTCCATGTTAAAATGCTTTCTGGAGGCTAAAAGGATGATATGTTGATAATGAAATATTTAAAAGGCAGAAACCCCACTGAATTCTTTGGTCCACAGAGGGAAATGGGAATCGCATGACCTGAGGCATGATGGAGGAACTGAACAGAAACCATCCTTGTTTCCTTAATCTGAACATGGCACGCTCTTTTCACGGTGCCTGTATATGCTCAGTCCGGCAGCCCCTTGAAAAGAGGGAATCTGGATTTTCAAACTTAAAATTTGGCCCAAAGCCCACTGCTGCCCACAATGGCCACCAGACACATTCCTCTACCCTTTTAGTTTCTATGGGAATACTCTGTTTGAGGAACCCATGAAGCAGTGTCAGGCTGGTGTGAGGACCAGCAGTGATTTCTTTGAGGAGGAGAGCCCGTTTCTTCACTCACAGGCCATGTCTGAGTGGATCAAGAAGAACAGAGTGCCCTTTTATGAGATTTTGTCTGCGTAGACCATTAGCTTGGTAAAAATGTCAAAACCATCCTTGTTCTTTAATAGCAGATTATTTTGGACTTTTCTCTGCAAGAAGTAGCATAGGCATTCAGATGCTTTTAAGGATAAAATGTTCTTTCTCATCACCAGGCCTGGTGCTCTGGATGGCTGAGGTTTTACTGTGACTTGGTGTCCCTTGGAGTGGCTCCCAGGCTGTGCTCTTGTGGTTGGGTGGCAAGGGGTTGCTTTATTCGGTGGTGGCTAGAGGATATTTTAGCAGGTAAATCGGGACCCCAGGAGCCCCTGAGTGCCAAGTCCTGCTGCAGGGCATGTGTTTATATTGGGGATGTGGGGGGG
Organism: Homo sapiens; assembly: GCF_000001405.40. Classification (NCBI taxonomy): domain Eukaryota; kingdom Metazoa; phylum Chordata; class Mammalia; order Primates; family Hominidae; genus Homo; species Homo sapiens. Next base: position 110,284 of record NT_187537.1, read on the forward strand.
TGGAGGGTGGGGGACATTGATTTCCTGCCAATATCAGAAGTTTCACAGGCTTCTTGTGTATCCACAAACACCCATCCCATTGAGAAGGCCTAGAAAACCTGGCCCTCGCCAAGCCTTTATTGACCGCTTGTGAATGATCCCAGGGTGTGTCTGACCCACAGCTCCTCCTGGAGGGAGAGAAAAGTCTCTTCTAGGTATTTGGTTATCAACCTCAACCATTTGCTGAGCCTTCCCCAAGACCAGGCATCTTGGCAGAGATTTCTGGGTCGTCAGGCAGAACCGAGCATTCAAGGGTGATAACTCACTGGAGTCCCTGAAATCCCTGATGGACGCACCAGGTAAAAGCATCCAGGGTTGAAACCAGATCAGGAAGGTTATTGTCAGCCTGGGGTGCCTGTAGAGGTGCATCCACGTTGCAGGTATTTTCCCTTCTTGCTGAGGAGAAACCTGGGTTTCTCAGCTTTGGCACAGTCACAACACTTGGGGTCAGACCATTCGTGGTGGTGGTGAGTGGGGGGCGTCCTGTGTATTGTAGGATGGTTAGCAGCATCTCTGGTCTCCATCCTCTAGGTGCCATTCTACCCTCCCAGCTATGGCTACCCCAGATGTCTCCAGATGCTTTCAAATGCTGTGGGGCAAGGGAGTGGTACGTGAGCAAAACCACCCCAGTTGAGAGCCATTGGTCTACACTTGTGGAAATGTTTGAGGGTGAGAGTGTTGAGCTCGGGTCCCTGCTGTACCCTTTATGAGCAATGCGGTCTTGGAAAATTAATACGACTCCAGGGGCCTTAGTTTTCTCATCTATAAAATAGAGATAAATGAGATACACTTTCATAGGAAGGTTATATGGGATTTACTGAGATAATAAGACAGTACATGAAAAATGCTGGGCATAGCACTTATTTATTTTTATGTTTTTTAAAGATGGAATCTTACTCTGTTGCCCAGGCTGGAGTGCAGTGGCATGATCTCCGCTCACTGCAACCTCCACCTCCTGGGCTCAAGTGATTCTCCTGCCTCAGCCTCCCGAGTAGGTGGGATTACAGGTGCCCACCAACACACCTGGCTAATTTTTGTATTTTTAGTAGAGATGGGGTTTCACCATTTTGGCCAGGCTGGTCTCGAACTCCTGACCTAAGGTGATCCTCCTGCCCCGGCCTCCCAAGGTGCTGAGATCACAGGTGTGAGCCACCACGCTGGGCTGGGCATAGCATTGTAACACAGACAAAGCACAAAATACTTGGGCAATATCTTTTTACATTTGGCTTGTCTAGACTCCATCCTCCATCCCCTCATGCACTGGTGTGGTGCAGACCAGAATATCACCCACCTAGACTGCAGAATGGATTTGGGTGGCATCTTGGCTTTCTGCACAAGACTTGCCTGTTCCCCACCACATCCCCCTGGTTCTCAGGGTCCAGGATTCCAGGAGGCAGGGATGTGGGCAGGCAGGGTAGGTGGCCCACCCAGTTCACTCCCACGCTGGGGACCTGCAGAGCTGGCTGTCCGAGACAGGTTGTTTGGACCAACATCTGGGTTTCTGGATTTCCATTTGAGCACAGCTGGACTACACAGGCTGAAGCTCTCTCTGCCGAGATATAGATATTTCCCTGGTGATGATCTTTCAAGCTGACATGAAGACATGGCCACCCACTGGAACATCGTGTGTCTGCCGTGGCGCTCTTGTAATTTGTGAGGGAGGCTCCTGACGAATGCAGTGCGTAAGTGGGAAATGGTGGGAAGTTCTCGCATCCCCCAACTTGGCCGAAAGTGCTGCCTGCACAGATTTGTGGATGGTCCTTTGAGCAGGAAGAAGACACGGAACACATTCCTGTTAGCTATGACAGAGAGGGGCAGGGTACACACTGGACATTTCAAGCCCCTCCAGAGAAGCAAGTCTTACTGTGCTGGGAGTACTTGTGGAGTGGGGGCTGTGTTGCCCTGGGCTTTAATTATTTCAGGAACATTTAACCGCAGGGTTGGCAGGCTGGATCTTGATATGTGTTTCTCAGTTGGAAAGACTTTGGACCATAGGGAAATGTCTTCTCAATTCTTTTAATTTCATTAAGGTTGTCATTTTTCTTCTTGTGGCCTCTGGAATGTGACACAGAACTCAAGGGACAGGAAGGAGATGAGTTGGCGGCTGGGACAGGGGTCCCTGCCAGGGATGCTGGTGACTCACATGACGGTGTTGATGTGTGGAGTCCGGTGCCTGGTTTGGGGAATATTCGTGGGATATGTTCCAAAGGACTGATGGACCTACAGGTACTGGAGGTGAATGGTCAAGTCTGACCTCAGGGCTGACAGTGTCAGGCAAGGACAGGAAGTTGACGTTGGACTCATTGGCTGAGGTTGCTTGGGACCCAGGGGGCAACGTGTGCCAGGACAGATGGGTCTGGGGCTAGGAAGGCAGGTTTGGGCTGGAGACTTGGGCTGGGGACGCATCCCAGGTAGGCAGTGGTTGAGGCTGTGGAAATGACCACGATTGCCTGGGATGAGAGTGGAGACAGACAAGATGGGGGTTTTGCTCTAAGCCTGGGGAACCCACCTCCCAGGTTCAAAGGATTCTCCTCCCTCAGCCTCCCAAGTAGCTGGGAATGCAGGTGTGCGCCACCATGCCCGACTAACTGTTGTATTTTTAGTGGAGATGAGGTTTGGCCAGGCTGCTTTCAAATTCCTGACCTCAAGTGATCGGCCCACCTTGGCCTCTCAAAGTGCTGGGATTATAGGCATGAGCCACCATGCCTGACCATTTTTAAATATTAATTTTTATGAAATATTTTCAAACATTTTACTGTACATTGGAAAAGTCAATCATGATTTGAAAACTTTATCAAAATCCAATCAAATGTCAATTAACCATTTAATTGTGGATGAGTAAGAAGACTATTTTGAACAAAACATGTTAGAACAATTACCACTTATAGAAATAATCTATGTTTTAATGTTTTAGTTGAATTAAACAATCTTTTATATTCTGTCCAGGCGCAGTGGTTCACACCTGTAATCCCAGCACTTTGGCAGGTCGAGGCTTGCGGATCACCTAAGGTCAGGAGTTCGAGACCAGCCTGGCCAACATGGCGGAACTGTCTCTACTAAAAATACAGAAATTAGCCAGGTGTGATGGCACACACCTGTAATCCCAGCTGCTTGGGAGGCTGAGGCAGGAGAATCATTTGAACCTGGGAGACAGAGCTTGCAGTCAGCCGAGATCGCACCACTGCACGTCAGCCAGCCTGGGTGACAGAGCGAGACTTTCAAAAATAAATAAATAAATAAAATAGAATTCTGAACTTTATTTTTAATAATTATTTTGTAAAAAGAATGTCTTGTTTTTTGGAGTTGTTGAATTTATTGAATTGACAAAAATTATGTACAAGAGGGTACAACATGATGTGATTCAAGTATGTATACATTACAAAATGGCTAAATCAAGCTAAATAACATATCACCTCCCAGACTTATTTTTTTATGGTGAGAACACTTAAAAAATCTACTCTCTTAGTGATTTCCAAGTGTATGATATGTTGTTATTAATTGTAGGTACCATGTGTCCCATAGATATCCTGAACTTATTCTTCCTCTCTAAAAATGACATTCTCTGTCCTTTGGCATCTGCCCACTTCCCCACCCTGGCAACCATCGTTCTACTCTGCTTCTGTGAATTCAACTTTTTTCTTTTCTTTTTCTTTCTTTTTTTTTTTGAGACAATCTCACTCTATTGCCCAGGCTGTAGTGCAGGGGTGTGATCTTGGCTCACTGCAGCCTTGACCTCCCAAGCTCAATCAATCCTCCCACCTCGGCCTCCTGAGTATCTGGGAGTACAGGCATGCACCACCACGCTCCACTAATTTTTGTATTTTTTTGTAGAGATGGGGTCTTGCTATGTTATGCAGGCTGGTCTCGAACTCCTGGGCTCAAGCAATCTGCCGGCCTCAGCCTCCCAAAGTGCTGGGATTAAAGGCATGAGCCACCATGCCTGGCCGAGTTCAACTTTTTTAGATTTCACATATAAGTGAGATCATGTGGTATTTGTCGTTTTGTGCCTGGCTTATTTCACTTAACATAATATCCTCCAGGCTCATCCACGTTTTCTCAAATGGCAGGATTTCCTTCGTTTTGAAGGTTGAATAGTATTCCATTGTGTACGTACACTACATTGTTGCTGGAAGTGTAATGGAGGCCAATTGGGGGAGGAGGGGGAAAAGATTCACTCTAAGTCTAGATGCTCCAGCAACCACCCAGGATGTGTGCAAGGAAGTGTAGGATGCTCCTGGTCTTGCAAACTGTGGTTTGTGGGACTCCAAAGCCCCCATCCTTCCACAGTGCTTTCTGTCCTCTTATCAAATTTCCTTGGAGGAGAATCCAGCCTTGGTGGAGAGCCCTGCTCTGGCTTTGTCCCTCAGCATGAGATGGCAAAGGATGGTGCTGCTGGGAGACCCTCATGTCTGCACACTGGGGGCTGCTTGCCTTCTCCATTCCTCCTTCAAGTATCTGAGCAGTTCCTGTGTGCCAGCTGCTGGTCTACAAGATGGATCGGTCCTTGGAGATCACGCTGTAGCAGAGGAGGCAGGCTGTAGCCCACAGGCCACAACCAGCCCCCTGCCTGTTCACACATATAAAGTTTTATTGGAACACAGCCACACCCATTTCAGTGCATATTGTCTGTGGCTGCTTTCCTGCTACAATGGAGAGTTGAGTAGTTGGGACAGAGACCTATGGCCTGCAAAGCTGAACTATTTACCATCTGGCTCTCAAGAAAAGGGGGAAAAAATGCTTATCTTTGTACCCCGACAGTCTTAGATTAAGAGGACTTTGTACCACCCTGACGTCCCAGGCAGCCGTGAGTCCAGCCACCCCTGAAATGTACACAAGTCTGGGCTAGGGTTGCAGCAGGTGATTCCCAATTTTGCAGGTCTTTGGTATCAGGGGCACAACCCAGGATTTTGAGTGGGGTCTCCTCACCACTGTGGCTGGGCACTGGGCTAGTGTGCTTTCTGATTTTTGTATGGGGAAGAGAAAGGAGGGAGGAAATGGCAACTTGTTGCCCTGTTCTAACATTTTCCTAAGATGGGTCTCCAGGTAAGGGCTTGGGATCTCACCTTGCACAGCTTACAAAACCCAGTGAGGCCAGCTGTCTTGGCGCTGCCACTCTGAGGGATGGAGCCCCCAAATTACTAGGAAGGGAGATAAAAGAATGGTTTCTGCAAGCACAAGAAGTGGCGTTATTGAAATTAACATTTCCCCCAAGTTTTATAATGTCTAGGCATGCATATTTAAGTGTCTGTCTCAAAGGCTCTTGCCAATAACCAGATGGTACATTTAATTTCCTTTTTTTTTGTTCTCTGAGCAACATGCAGCTTCCTGCACAGCCCTCCTTGCAGGCAACTGCACTGAGGTGACAGTCCTCCTGACTGCCAGCACAGATCCCCAGGGCCTCTGAGAGCCCTGTATTCTGGGGGCAGCCTTTCCCCCTTCTATTTGGCCCCAGCTGGAAGGGGGCAGGTTACCCACAGGGCTCCTGCCTTAGCTTAGCTTAGCTCCTGCCTAAGCACAGGGCTTCTGCCTTAGCTTCTCTAGGGAGTCTGGCTCCCTCTGACCCTCTAGACCTCACCAGCTGAGGATTAGAGCCCCGGGGCAGGAGCCAGGGCCAGGGGGCATTGGGGGGTGGTTTGAGAGTGCAGCTCTGGAGGGGGGCAGGGCGAGCCCAGGAAAAGCTGCTCAGGGGAGACTGCAAAGAGATGGCAGAGGTAGGACAAGAGGGCCAGGCATGGTGACTCACACTTGTAATCCCAGCACTTTGAGAGGCCCAGGTGGGCGGATCCCCTGAGGCCAGGAGTTTGAGACTAGCCTGGCCAACATGGCGAAAACCTGTCTCTACTAAAAATACAATAATTAGCTGGACATGGTGACACCTATAATACCAGCTACTCGGGAAGCTGAGACACGAGAATTGCTTGAACCCAGAAGGTGGAGGTTGCAGTGAGCTGAGATTGTGCCACTGTACTCCAGCCTGGGCAACAGAGCAAGATTCCATCTCAAAAAAGTCAGGACAAGAGGAGGAGGGAAGAGAAGGGAGCTTTGGGGCAGCAGCCAGGACCTTAAAGGCACAGAAGAGGAAGCTTGGATTTCCAATTCCAAAGGACATGAAGTCACACACCTTTATTTAACCTGCTCCAGGTGAGGCTGGGCTTTGTGTATTTTCCTTGTTTTCCTTTTCCTTGTGTTCAGGCTGTTGTAGAAACAGGTACACAGGGGCTCTGTGTGGCGCCCTGTTCTGGTGGCCTTCAGGAAGCATGGGGTGCCCTGGTTTCCTTGGCTTCGTGTCCCCCTTTCCTCCTGCCACCCCTGACTGTGCCCCCCACTTTATCCCTCAGACCATCCTCCTGGAGGGGACTGGCCAGGGCTTGTGTCCTTGCTAGTCTCTAGGAAGGAAGACTCTGGCTTGAAAGCTTGTCGGCTTAAGTTGCAAGGTGTAGGTGCCTGGGAAGTCATGGGCACGGCCCTCTTGACTGATCCATTCATGTTTTTCTTTTCGACTCTGTTCTAAGTTGTCCTGATGGAGGGGTAAGCCCCTGCCTTCTGCCTTTCCTGCCTTGGACTCTTGCAATTGGACCAGATGAGAGGGTCCACGTGGTCTGAGAATTCAAGCAATGCAGGCCAGGCATGGTGGCTCACACCTGTAATCCCAGCACTTTTGGAGGCCAAGGCGTGTGGGCCAGGAGTTCGAGACCAGCTTGGCCAAAATAGTGAAAACCTGTCTCTACAAAAAATACAAAAGTTAGTCGGGCTTGGTGGTGCACACCTGTAATCCTAGTTATTTGGGAGGCTGAGGCAAGAGAATCACTGGAACCCAGAAGCAGCAGGTTGCAGTGAGGAGCAGGTTGCAGTGAGGAGCAGGTTGCAGTGAGGAGCAGGTTGCAGTGAGGAGCAGGTTGCAGTGAGGAGGAGGTTGCAGTGAGCTGAGATTGTGTCCCTGGACTCCAGACTGGGCAATAGAGCGAGACTGTTTTAAAAAAAAAAATTTATATAAAAAGAAAAAACAAAACATCCTCTTGATTTGCTTTTCTTGATCTTGCTTCTCAGAGGTAACACTGGCAAGGGTTGGGGTATACCTCTCCACACCTTTTTCTTTGATTTCTTTTTATTTTTTATTCTACATTCTGAGATACATGTGCTGAATGTGCAGGTTTGTTACATAGATATACATGTGCCATGGTGGTTTACTGCACCTATCAACCCGTCATCTAGGTTTTAAGCCCCGCATGCATTAGGTATTTGTCCTAACACTCTTCCACCCCTTGTCCCTCACCCCCGACAGGCCCCGGTGTGTGATGTTCCCCTCCCTGTGTCCATGTGTTCTCATTTTTCAACTCCCACTTATGAGTGAGAACCCGCAGAGTTTGGTTTTCTGTTCCTGTCCACACCTTTTTCCTCTGTGCACTCAAGCACATGTATTTGCACGTAAGTGTTTATTGTAACCTTTTTTAAAAAGTAAAAATGGAATAATGCTACATTTATTCTTTGGAAAGCTTGCTTTTCAGGCAGCATGTCTTTGACATTGTCTCACGTTGGAACCGGGGTACTACCTTCTTCTCCCAGCAGGTATTCTGATGTGTGGATGCACCATGCTTCGTTTAACCAGCCCTGCACCTATATGTCTTTGGATGGTTTCCGCCTTTTCCCAATCACAGACGGTGTTCTGATGAATTTCCTTACACACACCACTTGGTGCTCTGTGCCTGCATTTCTGTGAGATGTTCCTGGAGGTGGGCTGTCTAGGTCAGAGGTGGATCTGTGCTTAATTTGCATCCTGTGCAAAATTCCATCCAGTCATCCGGCTCCCCAAGGGCTCACATGGTACTGTCCTCTGTAGACATCATCTTCTGCAGATGATGGCATGACCGCCTCTCTTTCTTTTACTCACACCAGTCTGCACCCTGGTGTCCTGGGGGGTCCAGCCCCTACCTGCTTGTCTGCCCACACCCCACCGTCCCCCCAGCCCCTGCTAACAGGGACTCTGGCTTCTGAGCTCTGGCAGACTGCCTCACTCTGGAGAAGTCTGCTTTCTCAAACATTCCTGGCAATGTTACTGCAAATCTCGAGGCCTGCATTTGTCTTTTTCAGGCCTCAGTTTCCTCAAAAGTAAAATGGGGATAATGTGATGCTACTGTCTGCATCCTAGAGCTGCCATGAGGGTTCAGTGAGATCACTGTTGAGAGCAAGTTCACAGCGCCGGCCTTGTGCGCAGTCAGCACCTGTGGGGCAGGGCTGTTGCTGATACGTGGTTGACTGTCATTGGTAGACTGTGGCTTTACCAGGGGCATTGTCTTTAGTGCCGAGCCCAGAGCCACCCCTAGTACCTGCCGTGTTTATAGAGTGATTGAGTGTCAGGGTCAGAGACTGGGGCAATGGCAGCAGAAACAGAGGAAAGAAGTGGGGCTTCTAATAGGTCCTGAGACAGTGGCCCTTGAGATGAAGACTTCTTGCCAAGGTCTGGGGCTGTGCTGTGTGTTCTAGGCCCGAGACTGGAAGCTAGGCCTGGCTGCAGCCCCCGCTGAGCTGGGGAAGTGCAGGTCAGCATCCTGCTTCATTAGGACACCTCCAAGCCCAGCTTAGATGTGGATGCCAGCTGACCCCCTCTTTGCTCTGAACCCAGACAGAGGACAGGGAAGTGTGCAAGGGTGGGGACCCCCTCGTCACAGCCCTTGACTCTGTAAGGCATATGGGTTTGTGCACGTGTGTGATCACAGCCATGGCTTCTCTGTGAGTTTCAAGCTCGGGGTTGTGTTTATGCAGGGTTAGGCTTGCCAGGTAAAATACAGGAAGTCCAATTAAACCTGAATTTCTCATTAACCACTTTTTTTTTTTGGTGCAAATATATCCCATGAAATATTTGGGACCTGCTTACCCTAAAAATGATTTGTTGTTTGTCTGAAATTCAAGTTAAACTGGCATCCTGTCTTTTCACTTGCTACATATGAGAGTTCCGTGTGGGGGTTATCAGTGTGCATTTGTGAGTTCCCATGTGAAGGACTCTCTCCAAGTGTCTGTAGGTGCCAAGATGGAGATGGACAGAAAAGATCCCCTTGGGCCCCTTTAGTGGCACCTAGAGGCTGTGGGGTTGGGCACTTCAGCCCCAGGGGTCTAGACAGCACTGTCCAGCACCTGTGTGCTCCTGTCTTCTTCATGGGGGCTGACTTCCCTGCCATCTCTCTCCAAATACAGTGGCAAGAGCTATCCCATCTGCCCCCATTTGGAGCTCGGCTGCCCAGCCAGACAAGATGGCAAACAGTGTGCAGATGGCTGCAAAGCTTTCCCCAGCTCCTTCTGCAAGGGGCCTGCAGATGAAATGGAAGCCCTCATCCTCACCACCTCCCCCTTCCAGAAAACCCAGTCAACAGCCACTTCTGAATGCTGCTTTAGAAGCTTCACCCTCCTGGTGATTAAACCACCCCAAACAAATAAAGCACTGCATTTCCACCATGGGCTTGTTCACATGCACGCAGCCAATTGTCTTGGATCCATCTGTGTGCCTGATTCATCAGGGTGAGGGGTTCTCCTCTGAGGTGCTTGCAAAGAGCTGCTTGCAAAGAGTTGCTTAATTTTCATCTGAAAGACTCTCTGTAGAAACCAGGCCCAGCTTTGGAAGAAAGCCTTTTCTCCCCCTTTAGCAAACTCTGTGTCATTATTTTTTCTTTCTTTCTTTTTTGAGACGGAGTTTCACTTTTGTTGCCCAGGCTGGAGTGCAATGGTGCAATCTCGGTTCACTGCAGTCTCTGCCTCCCAGGTTCAAGCGATTCTCCTGCCTCAGCCTCCTGAGTAGCTGGGACTACAGGCACCCACAACCATACCCGGCTAATTTTTTTTTTGTATTTTTAGTAGAGAGGGAGTTTCACCATGTTGGCCAGGCTGGTCTCGAACTCCTGACCTCAGGTGATCCACCTCGGCCTACCAAAGTGCTGGGATTACAGGCATGAGCCACCATGCCTGGCTGGAATTCTGTGTCATTCTGGATACTTATCATGACTTCAAGCATCTAGGACTCTGTCCTGGGTATCCTGAGCAGTCCTGTATGAGGTCGGTGCTGTGATTATCCACATGTTCACTTGTTCTCTCTGGCCATTTTCAGGCTCTTGCACTTCCTTTGCTCTTTTCCTGCCGCAGGGCCTTTGCACATCCTGCTCTTTCTGCCTGGAAAGATTTTCCCTCTCCCTGCCTCTTCACCTGGTCACGGTCTCATCTGACAGTGGAGTCACTACATCCTCAGGGACGTCTGGCCACACTGACTCAGTCACAGCAACCCCCTGTTATCTGCTTTCATGACACCAGGTGCCTCTCTGTGGTAGACACTAGCTCAGCTACGGCTTCCTGTTTCTGTGCGTGTCATCCTTCCCCTTCAAGACTGTGGTCACCGTGAGGGCCAGGGCCATGCCTGTTCCTGATTCTCATTTGTGTCTCTGGTGTTTAGTATATGCTTACCTAGAATTTGATTAATGAATGACGGCATACCCATTTTACAGATGAGAAAGTTGAGGCTCAAGAACATTGTGTAACTTGCTCGGTATTAGATAGTGATGGTTTGAAGCGATCTGGCTGGTCGCTGGGTGCACACTCTTAACCACTTCACTATGGTTCTTCTCTCATGGTAGCTCTCCAACAGCAGGAGTGAGAGACAACTTTAGGACAGGTGTAACCAGAATCCCAGGGGTTATCCTAGAAGGTGGTGTCAGGAACATGCTTGCCTATGGGCCTTCTTACTGTATTGCATAAAATACTCAGTTTTTCTGACTCACCTTTAGTAAAGACCTTAGCAATATTTGAAGCACAGTTGTCTGTAGGAAAGGGTGGGTGTTTATATTTTTTTAAAAAGGAGTCTATATCATATTTACCTTGTGGTCTGCCATGCCCCCCGCTCTTCTTCAGCTTCAGTTATGCAAAATTCACACTTCTCCTCTTGTCTGCCTCTCTCTTACCTGTTCAGTTTCTTTTCTGTGTTTGAGATTGCTTAGAATTTTTCCCCATTACTACAGCCTGCTTCCCACCTGTATCCCCCAGCCAGCTTGTTCTGGATTTTGTCAACAACAGTTCCAGCGTTTAGTGAGGGCTGGACTGAAGGAAAGCCTTGGAAAAGGCTGTGTGATGAAAGGTGAAGATACCTAATGAGCAGGCAGACATCAGGGTTAATTCAAAGGCTGGAAGAAGGGCTGACCTGGGGGACTGGAAATGTCTTTGAGCTGAAGGTCATGTGCAGGTGGAACGAAGAGGGTGAGCCTTTTGGGGTGAACTGCAAGAATTTGATAAGATCCCTGTCTCCATGGTTGGGGAAGTCTTGATAAGCATCCTCAATGTGATGGAAGGATCAAGGAACCCGTGGCTCTACCTGTCCAGCATGGCAGCAACATGACACAGCCAAGTTATTGATTATTGGTTGCCCAGCTGTCATCACTCAACATCTTCTGTTAGTTATAGCTGTAATTTGCACTAGTTGTCAATGCCAGTTTTGACTTTCCTAGTCAATAAAGTGTTCTGAGAGTGGTGACTAAGGCTGAGCACTACCCATAATCATGAGTATTACAGAGGCAAGCCCCCTTGCCCACCCACCTGCAGGTGATGACACACCCTAGGAAATCATTCAATTCTTTGGAGGACCCTGAATAAATGCTCAAGTCCATCTGTTCATCTGTCCATCCATCCATCCACCATTCCATCCATCCATCCATCCAGACATGCATACATCCATCCACCCACCTTACCATCTATCCACCCACCACCCACCCATCTATCCATCCAACCCACTCTTTTATGCACCCAGCTATCATCCACCTACCCACCCACCAACCCATCTATCCATCCACTCACCCATGCATCTATCTACCCATTCACTCATCTACCCATCTATCCACCCACCTGTGCATCCATTTATCTATCCCTCCACCCCCTCACCCACTCATCCATTTCTCCACCCACTCAGCCATCCCTTCACCGACTCAACCATCCATTCATTCATCCACCTGCCCGCCCACCCATCTTTCCATCCACCCATCTATCCACCCACCCACCTATGTATCCATCCATCTGCTTGTCCTTCTGTTCATTTATTCCACAAAGACTCGTTAACCACCTGCTAGATTCTGGGGAGGTACCTGCTCTAGTAATTGAGAGCACGGTCTCTAGAATATGATTCCCTGGGCTCAAACTGAGCTGCCTCCTAGCTAGCTGCTTGGGTAAGTTATAGAAACTGTGCTTTGATTTTCTTATCTGAAAATTGGCTATTAATAGCTTCTACTCTTGCAGATATAGTGAGGATTAAATAAGATGTCACGTTAAAAGTGCATCATCGACACTCAATAGAGATTAGGTTTTACCATCCATTATTATTCTTGGCAGATGCTGCAGATAACGTGGAGAGCATACGAAAGACACATGTTTGAACCAATAGTGACATACAGGTGCTAAGTTCTGCAGTAGGGGAAGGGCAGAGAGCAATGGAGAGGGCCTGGCCCAATCCTGGAGCCTCAGAAAAAAGTTCCTCGTTGAATTGCTGTTTTAGCTGAGACTTGTGGGATGGGTAGTAGTTGGAGATCCCAGACAGGATGTGACCGAGTTAGCCAGGGAAAAATTTGGTCCTGGCACCCATGGCAGAGTTGAGTGATCCAATCCTTCTTTCTCCTCTGGCTGGAAGTCCACCAGATCTGGGAATGTCAAGTTGGGGGAGGGGGCTGACAATGATCATGACCTTCACCTGTCCTCACATGTCCTCTGTGTATCTGCAAAGCCTCTGCCTCAGTCTCCTCTTCTGGAAAGTGGGATTGGAAACCACGTCTGCTTCTCTCCCAGGACTGCTAGGAAGACAAGATTAGATGGCAGGTGAGAGCTCTTTGAAAATGAAAACATTCTGCTATTTGAATGCAAAGTGTTCTTCTTTGCCTGTGATGTTTCCTAAGCTATGAACTCATGCTGGACCTCGAAGCTGTCTATTAAAAAAAAATAGCAAAGTGGTTGGGCATGGTGGCTCATGCCTGTAGTCCTAGCACTTTGAGAGGCTGAGGGGGGCGGATCATTTGAGGCCAGGAGTTCAATACCAGCCTGGCCAATATGTGAAATTCCATCTCTACTAAAAATACAAATACTAGCCAGGTGTGGTGTCATCTACCTGTAGTCCCAGCAGCTCAGGAGGCTGAGGCACAAGAATCATTTGAGCTCAGGAGGCAGAGGTTGCAGTGAGCTGAGATGGCGCCACTGCACTCCAGCCTGGGTGACAGAGCGAGGCTCTGTCTGAAAACAGAAAAAAAAAAAAAAAAGCGAAGTTAACACTTCCTCCATCTCTCCCGTAGGGGAGGCAATTTGTCAAAGATTGTTGTTGGATTTTACACACAGGGAAATCTAAGGAAGGTGTGGAAACCAGACCAGGACTCCAGACTCTGGTCTCCCTGTTTACAGGGTCTTAAATGGCGGAGCCACTTTGGGTTCTATCCACAAGATTGCTTTGTAAAAAAACCAAGAAACAAACAAACAAAAAACTCAAAAAAACAGCCCTGACCTAAATATTCACAAGGTACCTTAGGCAATATCTGCAAACAAAAGTGAATGATGAGTGGAATCTCTCATCTTTACAACTAAGACAGCTCCAGAGTTGAAGCAAGTGGAAATATCTCTAGACAGAGATTTGGGCAGGTTTTGCCAGTTACAAACTATGAGAACCTGGGCAGGTTTACCTCTCTGAGCTTCTGTGACCTTGTAAAATAGGCTGCATTGCACTAAACGTGCAGGAGGAATCCCAGGATCCTCCTGTGCACAGGGCTGGTTTCTTCCCATCCTTTTCTTTGTTCTGCCTCTCTCCTCCTCTCCAAGAGATGAATACATCTGGACCCAGTAGGGGCCTATGTTTGCAAAAGCTCGCAGGTGATTCTCATGCAGCCAGCCTGGCTCTGGCACTGAGTTCTTGGACACTTCTGGAGGCACATTTACTAGTGAGGAAGGTCACTGTGTGTGAAAGGCATGATTCATCTTCCATTCCTTTCTTCCATGAAGCAAGGTGCATGGGTCGACTGAGCTGGGAGAGTCCACAGTGTCAGCCTCCCCCACGCTTCCCTCCCTCCTTATTCCTTGTGTGCTGTACTTTGTCTTGATTTCCTGTACTCCGCACCAAGCCAGGAGATGGTAAGATCTCAAAATCATTTTTTTGGGAAATGGGATCAAGAGGGTTTTGGTTTGCTTGTTTGTTTGAGACAGGGTCTGTCGCCCAGGCTGGAGTGCAGTGGCATGACCTTGGCTCACTGCAGCCTTGACCTTCTGGGCTCAGGTGATACTCCCACCTCAGCCTCCTGAGTAGCTGGGACTGCAGGTGCACACCACCATGCCTGACTAATTTGTCTATTTTTTGTAGAGATGAGGTTTCACCATGTTGTCTAGGCTGGTCTCAAACTCCTGGGCTCAAGCAGTCCTCCATCCACCTCGGCCTCCCAAAGTGCCGGAATTACAGGCATGAGCTGCTGTGCCTGGCCAAGGTTTTTATTATTATTATTATTATGAAAAATTTTCAATATACATAAAAGTAGAGAGACTAGTTTAATGAGCTACCATATACCCATCACATAGGTTTAAAAACTATTAAAGTGTGCAATATTTACTCCATTTTTTCTGAAGTATTTAAAAAATTGTTTACAATAGTTATGTAATTGCATCATGATATTCACCCCTACATAATTTACTTTCCCTCTAAAAACATGAGGGCATTCTTTATATGATCATTGTCATACCTAATCAAATCACCAGTAATTCCTTAATATCCTCTAAGATCAAGTTTACATTCAGATGTCTTGTCCTCAAAATGTCAATTGTGATTATTTTTTTTTTGAGCAAAGATAATAAGAGCTCAAGATTTAATGACAGAGATTCCATGTTAGCCCTGATGTCTAAGCTCTGTGGTCCATTGTGGCTTTACTTGAAAGTCTCAGGCTAGGCGTGGTGGCTCACACCTGTAATCCTAGCACTTTGGGAAGCCAAGGTAGGTGGATCATGAGGTCAAGAGATCAAGACCATCCTGACCAACATAGTGAAACCCTGTCTCTATTAAAAATACAAAAATGAGCCAGGCATGGTGGCGGGCGCCTATAGTTGCAGCTACTCAGGAGGTTGAGGCAGGAGAATCGCTTGAACCCAGGAGGCGGAAGTTGCAGTGAGCTGAGATTGCACCACTGCACACCAGCCTGGGTGGCAAGAATGACACTGTGGAAAAAAAAAAAGTCTCTCACTGTGGTCTCATAATAAAAGGACACTCCATTTCCCATCTGGGCCCTGCTCCTTAATGTTAGCCCCCTCCTGTGGGGAGGAGGGGGTGACCTTCAGCACAGGTTGAAGCATTCCCAGGGCTGGCTCTGATCCCGATAAAGCCCATCGTCATGAATGAATGCTTCCCTTCCAGGTTATTCTAAGTATTGTAAATAGTGCACTTGGAGAGTCCTCATGATGCCTGGGATGGTAGTGAATATTTATAGGTTTCTTTTAGTGCCTTTTTTTTTTTAGTGTTTTCTATAGTTCCATGTTTCTACAACCCTTAGGAACATCAGAATCATGTGTGTGTGGGTGCTTATTAAATAAACCAGTTCCTGGAGCTCACTCCCAGTGACTCCCAGTGTGATGATTAGGGGCTCAGCTAGGACCTACGTTTGCAAAAGCTCCCAGCTGATCTCATGCAGCCAGCCTGGCTCTGGCTCTGGCTCTGGCTCTGGGAGCTGGGTTGGGAACTAGTCTTTGGTGCTATTCTGCTGAAACTTCAAGTTGGGCTCTTTGACTCCATCTTGTATTGTCATCACTTGTATTCAGGTCTGTTCTTCCCCTGGATTGTAAACTCCTTGATGTCTGGGTCATCTCAGCTCATGAGCTGAGCTTTCAGTGGGTGCTCAGTGGAACAGGTGTTGAATGGAGTCAGGCAATAGGGAGGCCAGCGTGTGTTGGTAAGTGAGAGACAAAAATCATTTTAAAAAGAATCTTTTTGCCCTTCAGTTGTGTTTTCCATGAGTTAATGTGATTTACTCTAGTGGAAGCCAGTGCAGCTTAAGTGGAGTTCTTGCCCTGAAATGGAGCCAGGTTATGGATCAGCAGAGCTGCCAAAAGCATCTTGGGGGAAATGTTTCTGTGTCACCGTCAGTTGATGGAACTCAAATTTTCACTCCCGTTCAACACCACGTGGGGGCCATTCTGACTTCTGCGGAGTGGGTATGATCAGATCTTCTGTAAAAGTGTAAGCGAGGAGGCTGGGCACGGTGGCTCACACCTGTAATCTTAGCACTTGGGAGGCTGAGGTGGGTGGATCACTTGAGGCCGAGAGTTTGAGACAAGCCTGGACGACATGATAAAACCTCATCTCTGCTAAAAATACAAAAATTCGCCAGGCATGATGGTGCATGTCTGTAATCCCAGCTACTCAGGAGGCTGAGGCAGGAGAATCACTTGAACCTGGGAGATGGAGGTTGCAGTGAGCTGAGGTTGCACCACTGCACTGCATTCCAGCCTGGGTGACAGAGCAAGACTCTGTCTCAAAAAAAAAAAAAAAAAAAAAAAAGTGTATGTGAGGAAACTGGGATTGAGCTTGGGGGTGTTGGGGGATGGAGGTACTTCATCAACTGAACAAAAACCATGGGATACCAATGCTGGAGGAAGAAGCATCATCCTCAGTTTCTACTAACTCAACCACGCATGAGATGGGGACTTGGTGTCCAAGAGAAAAGCCTCTTTTTAGGTCTTCAACCTTGATCAAACCATTTCTGAATTCCTCATGCACGTATAATCAGGTGCTATGAGTGGTACTGATTGGATAATCTCTCTGTCATTTCCTGTGCTAGGAAGGAAAATACATGTACAGCCAACTTCCTTGAGGGTTCGTTCTTTTGCATCAGGGTGTCTCAAACTCCTGCCCTTAAAACACCTGCAAGAGAATCATCCAGGCAGCTTGCTCGCTCTGCATGCAGACCCTTTAGAATCAGAGTCAGAATCCCTGGGGCTGGAGCCACAAAATGAAATGACATTTCAACAAGTTTGTCATCATGTGAGAGAGAATAGGTGAGTATTTGGATACCTATAATACAAAGTAGATTCAAAAAGAATGACTTGATTATTTTAAATGTTGTGTTTTAAAAAATTTAATACAGAAAAGGCTGGGCATAGTGGCTCATGCCTGTAATCCTAGCACTTTGGGAGGCCAAGGCGGGTGGATCATTTGAGGTCAGGAGTTCAAGACCAGCCTGGCCAAAAGGTGAAACCCCATCTCTACTAAAAATATAAAAATTAGCCAGGCAGTGGTGGTGCGTTCCTGTAATCCCAGCTACGGGGGAGGCTGAGGCAGAAGAATCGCTTAAGCCTGGGAAGCAGAGGTTTGGTGAGCTGAGATCGTACCACTGCACTCCAATGTGGGTGATGATTGTTTAACCACCACCAAAAGGGATTCTGAGTCCAAATATTAATATGAAGGACATTGGTGACATTGTCTCAAAAAATTAATACCGAAAAGTACAAAAAGGGAGAGAAATCACCCCAAATCTCATGACCCCAAGAAATAAACCTCCATAATATTAAGTGAACAGCATTCCTTGCTATGCACAAAGATGGCTAGAGACATGAACAGATACTTCTGATCACACAAAATGAGATTTTAAAAACAAGAAGTAGCAAATTGAATGCTGTGTAAATTTATCAGAAGAAAAAGAAATGGAAGTGAAACTGAACGAACTGGTCAACTCAGATAAATGTAGTTTTTCCTCACTAAAAATCAGTTTCTAGAACATCTAAGAAATCAAAGATGATGAAAAATATTAAGATGTATTATATATATGTAGAAGTCTTTACAGTTGACTGATCATCTCATGAAAAATTTGTACAGTCACTGCAAATAAAGTCATTGCAAAATCTTTACTCCTTTTGCTTTTTGCCAGCACTGACATTGGCCTTTGCAGTCTCTTGACTTCATTCTGCCCTTGCATTCCTTTTGCTGTTTTTTTGAGGTCATCTTCTTCTCATGCCAGCCGTGTCTTGCAAGTCTATGTTTGAGTTCATTTTTCTTTGCATAATTCAAAGAACCAGATAACATGCCAAAACCCATTGTTTAACCACCACCAAAATGGGTTCTGAGTCCGACTATTAAGATGACACCCATTGTGGTCTTGTACATTTTGTTGCCTTCCTGGGGTGAAGGACATTGATGACCATTTGTTTCCTCTGTAGCAGTCGATTGGTCACGAACTTCCTGGTCCCGATAGTTACTGTGTCATTCATCATGGTGGTTGATCCTCAGGTAGTTAGGGAGGAAAATAAAAAAGAAGTTATATATTTGAAACCACGTTTCAATTTTAGACCTGATTAATTGGCTTAATAAAGGGCATTAGCACTTCTACTTCCTACAGTCCCTCCCTTTACCTCTGGAAACTAGTTATTTCTAGGTTGTTTTATGTTGTTAAGGTTGACCACCTTTTCTTTCTGTTCTGCAATAGTAGTCCTATTTTTAAATGGATTCACCTCTCATCACTAGCCTTTTGTCATGGTCATTCAATTCACAAGTTGCTTATTTTGTAATTTCTTGGCTGACTAAATTTTATTATGAAGACTTTTTTTTTTTAAAGAGCTCAGAAATACTGTATTCTTTAAGTTCTTGAACATGTGATAGTGTCTTTTGCCTATTTTGATTGGGCAATAATTTACCTGGCTATAAAATTCTTGGATTATACTCTATTTCCCTTAGAAATTATAGGCACCCATCCACTGACATTTCATTGTGTTTCTTTTTTTTTTGAGATGGAGTCTTGCTCTATCACCCAGGCTTGAGTGCAGTGGTGCAATCTCGGCTCACTGCAAACTCTGCCTCCCGGGTTCACAGCATTTTCCTGCCTCAGCCTCCCGAGTACATGGGACTACAGGTGCCTGCCTCCATGCCTGGCTAACTTTTTTGTATTTTTAGTACAGACGGGGTTTCACTATGTTAGCCAGGATGGTCTCGATCTCCTGACCTCGTGATCTGCCGGCCTTGGCCTCCCAAAGTGCTGGGATTACAGGTGAGCCACTGTATGAGCCCAGCCTCATTGTGTTTTGTACTAACCCCCTTTCCCTGGCCTCTTCCAGCTTGTCTTCTTCTCTTCTAGTAGTTTCTTCGTGAAGAGGCCATGTGCTATATTCCATGAGATATTTCACACTCAAAGAAGACTTCTTTTATACTCTTCTGATAATTTGTCTGGGAATCATTGTCTTGATTTATAAGGGAGTTTGTAATAAATACAGTAAAAGAGAAACACACAACGTATTTTGAGATATCAGAGAAGGGAGAAACCAATTCTATTAATATTTGGGGTTTGCAGGGAAGGCTTAGTTAAGAGGTAACATTTGAACTAAGCCTTGAAATAAGGGAAGGATTTGGACATGCAGTAATGGGGAGAGAGTAGAAGCAAGACATGATGGTTAGTGTTATGTATCAATTTGACTGGGTTGTGGGGTGCCTAGATATTTGGCTACACACTATTCTGGGTGTGTCTCTGAGGTATTCTGGATGAGGATAATGTTTAATTGGTAGACTGAATAAAGCAGATTGTCCTCCCCAATATGGGTGAGCCTCATCCAATCCACTGAAGACCTGAACAAAACAAAAAGGTAGAGTCACAGAGAATTTGCTCTTTTTACCTGATTATATTTGAGCTGGGACATCAATCTTCTCCTGACTTTAGATGTGGACTCGAGTTGGAACTATATCATTGGCTGTCCTGGGTCTCCAGCTTGCTGGCTGCAGACTCCAGGACTCCTTAGCCTCCATAACCATGTGAGCCATCCCTTACAACAAAACAATCTGTCTCTCTCTATGTGTATAGCTCTACCTCTATCTCTCTGCTCTTTCTCTGGAGAACCTAGAGTAATACACAAGGTTATATTAGAGAAGAGGATGATCCAAGGAAAAGCATGGAGGTGGAAAAGTGCAAAGAGCATTTGGGAAGACTGGGGTCCTGATGGGGAGTTTGGATTTCACTGTGTGTAGCATAGAGAATCCTTGAAAATATTCAAGAGGTGAAAATTGTATTTGTGGAAGAACACCAGGAGTATGTGAAAAGAAAAACACTCACTCCGTTTTAACTCCACCGAAGTGGGCATCAAAGGGATGCACTGGGGACATGGGTTGGAGGGTAGTTGAGGCCATATCTGGAGGATCTTTACTTCTAGGCTGAGTCTGAAGTTATCTTTCTGGGGAGTGGGGGATTACAAATCTTTGAGCTCCACTCAAGAGATGGTTTTGCTAACAATGGCAGGGCGACGGTGGTGGTGGTGGGAAACTGGTATCATGAATTCTAACTGGGCTTCTGTTATTCTAGCCAAGAAAGTTGGGGAATGGATTTTCAGTAGAATAATACAGATCTGGGAATCAACTGCATGGAGGAGGTAGTTATAGGTGATGAGATGGCTCAGGGACAAAGTTTGGTAGAAGGAGAAAAGATACTAGGCTGGTACAAAAATAATTGCTATTTTTGCCATTACTTTTAATGGCAAAATCCGCAATTACTTTTGCACCAACCTAATAGGGTGCAAACTTCAGAGCCATCTGCATCAGAGGGATTGATGAAGATCAACAAAGTTTGGGAACACAGGAAAGGAGCGGGGAGGGTAATGACTTGAGGGCATAGCAGGGATAATCAAGGTTTTTCTTGTTAGCATGTGGAGACTTTAGCATGATTATATGTTAAACGCCTGGCACATACATGGTGCAAAATATTTATGAGTGAAATGACAAGTGAAGGTGGTGAGTCATGGGAGTTCCAAGGAAACGGGTGATAAAGGGAGGTCTCAAATGAGGCACAAGTGGAGAAGGTAGCTTGGGAAAGGAGAAGGATGCTTCTCCTTATAAGATGGGAAAGGCAGAGGAAGAGGGTCAAGATACAGTGATCTAGGGGTGAGATGGAAGTGAGTTGAGAGAACTCAACTCTGGGCCCTGAAACCCCTAGGGATGGGTTTGGGGGACTTTGAGATATGGAAGAGGTTTAAAGTCAATTGTTATAGCAAATATGGTTCGGAATTTATTTGTAATGCTTAAAAATATTGCTGAACAGAAGTGAAGTCTACCCTAGAGTTGGATGGTGAGATTATTTAGTGGAACTACCAGATCCATGTTGTGATTCTTTCCAGTATCATTCAGCAGCCCTTGGGCAGTTGCAAGGCAAGTCATCAGTGGGGTATGGAAATTTTCCAGGTGGGTGTGGTTGAAAGCAGGGAAGAAAGAGTTTAGGAGCACATTACAGGAAGGTGACTGTAAGGTCCAGGCTGAGCAGGAAAGTAAAGCAAGAAGGAAACATGAGGTTGTGAAGAGAAGTCTAGAGGGATGAGGAGGCAGGAGTGGTGAACAGTTGCAGGATGTAGCTAGAGTGGCGATGTTAGATCTTGGGGCCAGAGAGCTTTACAATGATTATGAAGATCAAAGGACATCAGAATCAAGCTATAAAGAGCCACTGTTTGATGGGATGTGAGGATGCTGCAGGTGGATATCTGCACATTGATGGTGAGAGTATGGTCACCCTGGCCCTGCTGGGTCTTTGCTAAAGAGACTGTGCTCTGTTCTTGGGGCCGTTTTCATCACCTGATTAGAGCAGTGGTCCCCAAATGGTGTTCTTTGGACCATCTGTACAAAATGTTCATAGGTCAAGTATAAAATGGAAAAACAGAGAAAATGTCACAGAAATGTGTCCATTGGTGAAAGACCACCAGCTGTCCTTTTTGGAGGATTGTTCTGTATTCTAAAAATGTATATATTCTATTCTATTAAAACATTTTTGTATTTGCATTTTTTCTCTTTTATGAAATGCCATGGGGTAGAAATTTGTAATGTATCCAATTCTCCTGTCTTCATGCATTGCCCTGTGGTGGGGGAGGGGATGTGGCTAGCACTGGCCAAGAGGCTGGGGGCAGAGGTGCAGTGTGAGACTTCTAGCCTGGGTCATTTAATTCTTAGTACAAGACTCTCTAGCATTCTTCTCCCTCTGTTCCCTGCTTGGTGATACTCGAGGTAATGCAACCCCCATTAGCCTTAGTCTTAGGGCAGGTTTGATGGAAAACAGAGCATCCCATACCTCCCTGCAGATGTAGCATGAGTGAGAAAAACAACTTCTGATGTTTGAAGTTACCAAGATTTAGGAGTTGTTTGTTATTGCAGCAAAACCTCACCTATTCTGACCAATCATGTTGGAATTTCTGTGTGTGTGTGTGTGTGAAACTGGTAGTTTAAAAAATTTCCTTCTTACCAAAAAGAAAAAAAAATTGCAACCTTATGTTGGTTCTCAAATTAAAAAAATATTTTTACTGGTTTATAAAATAGAAAAATCTGAGAATCTGTAGCTTAGAGAACTACAGTGTGGGATGTCTATAAAGACCAGGTTATTTTATCAGCTCCTAACACCCCTTAAGAAAAGCTTAGCCAAGACTTGGAATATTTCAGTCTTTCCCATTCCACATTCCATGGACCCTTGAAGAGACATTGATGAAATGGTGCAGCCATGAACCACCCTAACTCAATCCTAGTGGCAGAATCCCCCTTTTACTGCAGAATGAGCTTCTTGCTACAGTGATACTTGAACCCCTTAGATATATCCTGTACTGATTATATTAAAACACGACCAATGCTTTTGCTTTGTTGTCCCCCAAATTAAACACATTAAGCATGAGAACCCAGAGAATTGGATTTAGTGTAACTGATTCCAAAGTGTCAGTAAGAACATAATTAGGTTATATTTTTCTCCAGTTCAAATAAAAGAAAATTGACAATAAAATGCTGATCAATATGTGTAGCTCAGGAGGTAGAGCCTGCTTTGAGATGCAGAAGTGTTTGTTTTTTTTAGATCTATATTATTGAGTAAAGAAAAAATCCATCTCTCTTTCCTAGAGGGGAAGACTTTCAGAGCTGGGCTTGGCAACAGCCTGACTATCAGAGGCTGAATTAAACAAATAGGTACCTCCCTGGAGTGAATGGTGCATTTCTCCTGTTCGGGGAACCATGCTTTTATGCTGGAGTTTGCTTTCTGTCTTGGTCTCCGGATGTGTGTATCTGTGGGTGGATGTCTGCATGTAAATGGCAGTGTATACCTGTGTGGGTGTGTACAAAATTCCCATGTGAATCTCAGCTTTGTGGGGATCTCTGGGTGTTGAGCCCAGCAGATGCCATTTGAAGAAAAATCACTTGAAAATGAGACAGAAAGAATGGAAAATAAATCCTAGCTCTAAAGGCACCAGGCTGATTAAAAAAAAAACTCTGGATCTTCTTTGTTTTGGACTCTACCTACCTCCAAATGACATTTCTGTTTCCTATGAGATGATTAGAATGAAAGAGATCCTGAGCACGAAAGAGCAGATACTGTGTGATTGTGTGTATGTCAGCGTGTCAGCTGTGACACTGCTGACATTTTGGCTCAGCAATTTCTCTGTTCTATGTGTGGGGGTTCCCTGTGCATTTTAGGATGTTGAACGGCATCCCTGGATCCCTGGACTCACTGGATGCAGTAACACAACCCCCCCCAAGTAGAGACAAACCGCATTGTCCCCAGATATTGCCTAATGTCCCCAGGGGGCAAAATAGCCCCATCTGAGAACTGCTGCTTTCATAAAGTACAATGTCAGGTGAAATAGGTGGAGGCTGTTTGTAGTCAGGGGTTAGTAGAGATGGAAGAGACCCCAGGAATATCCTGGAAGGGGCTCTAATATTTTGTTTCTTGAATTGAGTGTCGGAAATATGGAGATGTTCAGGTTTTGTTGTTGTTGTTGTTTTGAGGCAGGATCTTGCTCTGTCACCCAGGGTGGAGCAAGTGGCACCGTCATGGCTCACTGCAGCCTCTGCCTCCTGGGATCAAGCAGCCCTCCCACCTCAGCCCTCCTGAGTAGCTGGAACTACAGTCATGTGCCATCACTGTTGCCTAATTTTTGTATTTATTTATTTTTTGTAGAGAGGGGGTCTCATTATGTTGCCCAGGCTGGTCTCGAGCTCCTGGGCTCAAGCAATCTGCTCACCTCGGCTTCCCAAAGTGCTGGGATGACAGGCATGAGCCACTGCGCCTGGGCAATATGTTCAGTTTGTAAGAAAAGTACTGTGTTGACTTCTTCTATGTGCACATTTCTTTAAGTAATAATTCAATAAAGCATTTAGAAAAATTGGTCATAATAAGAGTGATTTGTAGAGTGATTGGCATGAAAGCTGATCACCTTAATTAGAACTACTCTGAAATGAGCACCAGGGGCCACCAAGAGGAGCCTTTCAAGGTGTCATAGCCAAGGAGAGGAGTGTGTTGTGTACATCTCTGCATAAAGGATTTGCTGGTTACATGGAAGGATGAAGCCTCCTTCTGAGGAGAGAGGCAGCAAAGCAAGTGGAAGCCCAAAGCATTGAGCTTTCTAAATGGACTTTGCTAAAATCCAAATGCCCATCACCAGATGAAGAGATACACCGATTGTTGTCTACCCACATGGTGGAATATTATTTGATCACAAAAAGGAGGAAACTACATACGCTACAGCGTGGATGAACCTTCAAACAGCTGAAAGATCACATTCTACATGATTTCATTCAGATGGAAATCTATAGAAATAGGAAGTCGATTAGTGGTTGCTTAGGGCTGGTAGGGGCATGGGAGGATAGGGGGTGTTAGCTAAAGAGTATGAGATTTCTTTTTGAGGTCATGAAATGTTCTAAAATTGACTGGTAATGTTTGTGTATATCTCTGAATATATTAAAAACCATTGAAATGTAAAAAATGCAAAGAAAAAACAGCCCAAGTTGCAATTTTATTCAACACTTAATTGGCTTTAAAAATAGATTCCAGGCTGGGCATGGTGGCTCACACCTGAATTCCCAGTGCTTTGGGAGGCTGTGGTGGGAGGATTGCTTGAGGCCAGGAGTTCCAGGCCAGCCTTGGCAACATGGCAAGACCCTGTCTGTACAAAAAAAGAAAAAATAAATATCAGCTGGGTGCAGTGGCTCACACCTGTAATCCCAGCACTTTGGGAGGTTGAGGCGGGCAGATCACCTGACATCAGGAGTTCAAGACCAGCTTGGCCAACATGGTGAAACCCCGTCTCTACCAAAAATATAAAATTTAGCCTTTTGGTACTCTGAGCAGCACCATGGCAGTTGTTAAGAACAAGTGCCTTATGAAAGGTGGCAAAAAGGGAGTTAAGAAGAAAATAATTGATCCATTTTCTAAGAAAGATCAGTATGATGTGAAAGCACCTGCTATGTTCAATATAGGAAATATTGGAAAGACTTGGTCACCAGGACCCAAGGAACCCAAATTGCATCTGATGGTCTCAAGGGTCTTGTGTTTGAAGTGAGTCTTGCTGATGTGCAGAATGATGAAGTTGCATTTAGAAAACTCAAGCTGATTACTGAAGATGTTCAGGGCAAAAACTGCCTGACTAACTTCTATGGCATGGGTCTTTCCTGTGACAAAATATGTTCCATGTTTGAAAACTGTTCAACAATGATTGAAGCTCATGTTGATGTCAAGACTACCGATGGTTACTTCTTTCATCTGTTTTGTGTTGGTTTTACTAAAAAACACAACAATCAGATACTGAAGACGTCTTATGCTCAGCACTAACAGTCCGCCAAATCCAGAAGAATATGATGGAAATCATGACTTGAGAGGTGCAGACAAATGACTTGAAAGAAGTGGTCAATAAATTGATTCCAGACAACATTGGAAAAGATGTAGAAAAGGCTTGCCAATTTATCCTCTCCATGATGTCTTCATTAGAAAAGTAAAAATGCTGGAGAACCCTGGGTTTGAAAGGCATGGAGCTTCGTGGTGACGGTAGTAGTTCTGGAAAACCCACTAGGGACAAGACACATGCTAAAGTTGAATGAGCTGATGGATATGAACCACCAGTTCAAGAATCGTTTAAAGTTCAGACTTAAAACAGTGGCAAAGAAGAAGTCCTATTTGTGAAAAACAAACAAGAAACAACAATGAAAAAAGCAAAATTAGCCTGGTGTGGTGGTGCATGCCTGTAATCCTAGCTACTCAGGAGGCTGAGGCATGAGAATCACTTGAACCTGGGAGACAGAGATTGCAGTGAGCCAAGATTGCACCATTGCACTCCAGTCTGGGCAACAGAGTGAGACTCTCTCCAAAAAGAAAGAAGAAAAAAAAAGTATCCAGGCTTGGTGGCATGCGCCTGTAGTCTCAGCTACTCTGAAGGCTGAGGTGGGAGGATAGCTTGAGGCCAGGAGTAATTTGAGGCTGCAGTGAACTATGATTGTGACACTGCACTCCAGCCTGGACTGCAGAGCAAGACCCTGTCTCTTATACATACATATATACATACATATATATATATACATACACACACACACACGTACATACATACCCAGGCTCTACCTCTGGTGATTCTGACTCAGTAGGGTGGGGTATCCCCTAGGGATCCTACTGTTCAGCCTGGTCTGGGATCCACTTTTCACTGGGAACTGAGACACTGGCTGTGAGCCTTTCTGTCCTGAGATGTAGAGGTCATGGCGATGCAGGTTCAAGCTTAAGGAGACCTGACTGTGCATTAGGTATTGTGCTGAACATCATCTCTTACTCTCACAGCAACATCCTTAGAAGGTTAATGATGTGTCCCTGCTCTACAGATGAGCAACTGAGCTTTCAGAGGAGTTTAGCTTGTTCAAAACTTACTCTTCCTATTGGAAACTTTGTACCCTTTGACCAGTGTCTCCTATCCCCTACCTTTCCTCCACCCCAGCCCCTGATAACCACTGTCCTACTCTCTATTTCTGTGAGTTCAACTTCTTTAGATTCCACATATAAGTAAAATCATGCAGTATTTGTCTTTCTGTGCCTGGCTTATTTCACTTAACAGAATGTCTTTCAAGTTCACTATGTTGTTGAAAATGACAGGATTTCTTTCTTTTTTAAGGGTTAATAGTATTCCATTGTGTGTATATAGTACATTTTCTTTATCCTTTCATCCATTGATGGACACTTAGGTTGATTCTACATCTTGGGTATTGTGAATAGTGCTGCAGTGAACATAGGAACGTAGAGATCCCTTCGACATATTGATTTCGATTTTTTTTGTCTATACCCAGAAGTTGGGTTGTTGGATTATATGCTTTGAAATCTATAGCACAGCAGCGTGACTATAGTCAATAATAATGTATCTTTCAAAATAACTAAGAGGGTACATTTCAAATGTCTCATCATAAAAATTGTCAGTAAATTAGGGGATCTACATATTAATTAGTTTGATCTAATCATCCCGCATTGTATACACATATCAAAACATCACATAAATGTGTACAATTATGATTTGTCAATTAAAATAACGTTAGTTAAAAAAATAAGTAACTTGTTCAAAGCCCCAGTTGAGATTGATGGAGCTGGGACATGCACCAAGGCTGTTGCTCTCAGGCCTGCAGAGTCCTTGGTCCATGAATGTTGAAGCCCTACCTGAGATTTCTACTGAGATCAGTGTAGGGATTCAATGTCTCAGAATCATCCCATCCTCCAAGGCCCACAAGTCCATGACTGCTGCCTCTACCCCCAACCCTACTGACCTGAAATGTGGCCCCTGCTTTCATTTCCGGGAGCATACAACACTTACACCAAGCATTGATGGGTTTTGTTGACTTCATTTGAGATGTGGGGCCATAGAGAGGGTCCCATGATCCTTGCTTGGTGTTGGCCAACTCATTGACTTCTCTCCTTTGGCTTCACCCTTCCCTTTTCTACTCACCTCCCCTGTCATGTATTGCTCTGGGAATTCTGAGCCCTGGTTCCTTTATTTTGCAGATAACCTTCACTCTTCTCTGCAATGAATCCCAAAAGTATGTAGTTGAGCTGACTGCAAGGTGCTTGAGATGCAAGAGACTCCACAAATGGGATTCGGCCTCTGGAAAGTGGTGGTAGTTCCAGATTTATGTGGATGTTACTTTGTTTTTCCCTATAAAATATATTCTTTAAACTATCAAGCTCTTGGCTCCTGGCTGCAGTCCTTTGCTGGTGGCAGTGGGCTGGGTACTGCCACTGGGGAGAAATGCTGCCCACTTAGAGAAACAGAAACTGGTTCTCTTTAAGAGGCAGAGGGAGGTTTCCAGTGCCAGTTTGTTTGGAGGCAAAATGGCTGTTGTATTAAAATTGCCCAAACTTGGGCTGGTGCCTTGTGTGTTTAGAGCTCAAAGCCACGATTGTTTTCATTTTTTTTTTTTTTTTTTTTTTTTTTTGGTGGTCGGTTTTCCATCCTTTTGCTTGGCAGGTTTCTGCTAATAGCTTCAACCTCAAGAGTCCCATTATACAGACACTAATAGCACCTACTATGTGTCAGTCTGTAGTGCCTACTATGTACCAGGCATTGGAGATAATATTATGATGAATAAGATAAACATGGCACTTGGAAAAGAGAGTCCAGTTCCCAATCTCAGCCCACCCCAAAGAGAGGCCAGAATTGGGCTTCCAAAGATCTCAGATGCCCTTGCATCATCTCCCTGAAGAGGGCGGGTGAAGCTTTGGTGTCTGAAGAGAATTTGGCTGGACAATCCCCAAGGTTTAGAATGATGGGAAGGAGCTGCCATCTGTGTTTAAGGTGAGAAGCGGGGGAGTGGCTGGATATCAGAGGAAGCCAAGATGAAGAGAAGGTTTTTGTGAGTTCCTAGGCATAGTGGAGACCTGTTATAGTGTGGGTCCCTGGGGCTGAGCCTGTGGGTCAGTGGAATGATGCTGTGAGGAGGGTCTTGTTATAGCAAGATAGCCCAAAAAAGGCTGATGGATCATGAGCAGCTGGAAGAACGGAGAGTTCGGGGGATGTAGTTCCTACCTGGCTTTCCAACAGTGTGTAAGCCCAGAATTCTTACATAAGCCCATGGAGAAGTGGAAGGAATGCTGGTAACGACAAGATTGAATTCTCCACCTGCCAGGCATCCAGGGACTCAGAGCAGATTTAACTGAAGTTACAGAAATAGGAATGTGACATTTCCTACATGCGGGTGTGCTGGAGCAAATGTATTCCCTCTCAGGTTTGTGGGGAAGGAGAATGCTAACAGACAAGACTCCAGGTTTTCGCTCTTAAACCTGGTGCCTACATATGCATTTTCTACTGGATGCAGACAGAAGCTCCATATAGACATATCCATCGCTGCATCTCTCATGCCTTGTGTTCTCCCTAATTTTCCCTTTTTAACCCACAGAGGAAGAGAGTTCCAGCATCACTTCTGGCCTCTCAAGAGTGAGTTAGGTGGCCAGGTGGGGTTATTCATGCCTGTAATCTCATAATGAATGGGTGGCCTGCCGCTCCACACCTGTGGGTATTTCTAACCAGGTGGGATGAGAGATAGAAAAGAAATAAGACACAGAGACAAAGTATAGAGAAACAACAGTGGGCCCAGGGGACCGGCGCATAGCATACCAAGGACCTGCACTGGCACCGGTCTCTGAGTTCCCTCAGTTTTTATTGATTATTATCTTCATTACTTCAGCAAAAAGGAATGTAGTAGGAGGGCAGGGTGATAATAAGGAGAAGGTCAGCAATAAACATGTGAGCAATAGAATCTATGTCATAATGAAGTTCAAGGGAAGTTACTATCACTGGACGTGCACGTAAGCCAGATTTATGTTTCTCTCCACCCAAACATCTCAGCGGAGTAAAGAATAACAAGGCAGCATTGCTGTAAACATGTCTTGCCTCCCACCTTAGGGCGGTTCTTCTCCCATCTCAGAATTGAACAAATGTACAATCGGGTTTTATACCAAGACATTCAGTTCCCAGGGACAGGCAGGAGACAGTGGCCTTCCTCTGTCTCAACTGCAAGAGGCTTTCCTCTTTGACTAATCCACCTCAGCACAGACTTACGGGTGTCGGGCTGGGGGACCGTCAGGTCTTTCTCATCCCATGAGGCCATATTTCAGACTATCACATGGGGAGAAACCCTGGACAATACCCAGCATTCAAGGGCAGAAGTCCTTGCAACTGTCTGCAGTGCATTGTGCCCCTGGTTTATTGAGACTAGAGATTGGCGATGAGTATTACCAAGTCTACTGCTTGTAAACATTTTGTTAACAAGGCACGTCCTGCACAGCCCTACATCCCTTAAACCTTGATTTCATACAACACATGTTTTTGTTAGCTCCAGGTTGGGTCAAAGTGGTTTGGTCAAACTGGCTGGGGCAAAGCCGCAGATTAAGAACATCTCAGCAAAGCAATTGTTTAAAGTACAGGTCTTTTTCAAAATGGAGTCTCTTATGTCTTCCCTTTCTATGTAGACACAGTAACAGTCTGATCTCTCTTTCTTTTCCCTGCATATCCCCCTTTTCTTTTTGACAAAACCGCCACCATCATTATGGCCCCTTCTCGCTGGTCGCTGTCTCTCTGGAGCTGCTGGATACACCTGTAAACTACCAATAGAAAGGACAGACATACAAGGATTAATACAAAATTTGCAACAGTGCAATTTCCAGTGGTTTTAACCCAAGTGACAGGGGGCAAGAGGACGGTGTGGGTGCTGCAGTACCCAGGCAGTCTCCCACCTCCTTTGTGTCTTAGTTGCTGTTTCTCATAGTTTTCGGTCTTTCTCCTCACCTGTTCACTCGCACCTTTTATCTCTTTGTCTCCTTTCTCTTACAGTCTCTCTCTTTTATACTATCTCTCTCCCCAGTCTCACTTTCTGTGTCTGTCTCTGATCTCTGTCTCTTTTTCTTTCTATTCTTCTCCCTGGCTCTCCACATGTGCCGTTTTCTTGGTGGATGGTAACTTCATTGGTTCTTCTGATATCACCATTTTGTTCACCCTGCGAGTCGACGATGCTCGATTGCGGGTTTTCTGTCTCTGCGGAGGCATTTTCATTTGCATCTCTGATGGGTTCATTGTAGAACTTCAAATGTCTAGTGGGTATCCAAACAGGAAGCTGATTTTCTCCTGGTGAAACACAAGCAAAACCTCTTCCCCATGTTATCACCTTCCCTATTTCCCATGTTTTGTTTTTGTTGTCTTTCCACCAAATCAGTTTTCCCTCATGTGGGCTGTTCTTTTTACCAGTAAAATGTTCTGCAGAGGTAGCGGTCTGATTTCTATGTATGTTTAGAAAGTTTAAAGTATAGAGTGTTAGATTAAGTTGCATCTGGGTAGTGTTATACTCCTTACTGTCTTTTTCCTTTTTTTGTTTAACCAATTGAGCTTTGAGTGTTTTAAGCAGGACAGGTAAAATCTGCGTCTGGCACAGCCAGCCAGGTCTCCTTATCCTTTGCTTCCCTTTCTGCCTGTGACTGAATGGGTATGTCAGGGTCTAGTAGGGGATCCAGGAGGAGGAAACCTCATTAACTTCTATTCTGCAGCAATTGATGTCCACCCAACTTGAACAGTGGGGGCTTATCACCTCATGTACTAAGACCAGAGATAGCTGATGCCAAGGTTGGCTAAATTAGTAGCTTGAGATGTTAGGTTTTTCATTTGAGGTTTCCATGCTGCTATTGTCTTCTGCTCTTGGTCACAGAGGCTGCCACAATCCGCATGTCAAGTCCTCATGTGACAATATCCAGAGACAGCAAGGAAGAGGTACAGTGTATTCCTGCATGTTTCTTAAAAAAATGTTTTAGATAGAGAATAATTGTACACATTTATGGGGTCCATGTGAGATTCTGGTACATGCACGCAATGTGTAATGATCAAATCAGGGTCTTTAGGATATTAATCACCTCAAACATTGATCATTTCTTTGTATTGGGAATATTTCAAATCTTACTGCTATTTAGAAATATACAATAAATCCATTTATCAGGATACAAAATCTATGTACACAAATAAGTAGCAGTGCTATACACCAACATCTACCAGGCTGAGAATCAAATCAAACCCTTTTATAATAGCTGTAAAAATAAAATACTTAGGAATATACCTAACCAAGGAGGTGAAAGACCCCTACAAGGAAAACTACAAAACACTGTTGAAAGAAATAGATGACACAAACAAATGGAAACACATTCCATGCTCATGGATGGGTAGACTCAATATTGTGAAAATGACCATACTGCCAAAAGCAGTCTACAAATTCAATGCAATTCCTATCAATATACCATCATCATTCTTTATAGAACTAGAAAAAAAAGCCAAAATTCATTTAGAACTAAAAAAGTCTGCATAGCCAAAGGAAAACTAAGCAAAAAGA
This sequence comes from Homo sapiens, assembly GCF_000001405.40. Lineage (NCBI taxonomy): Eukaryota > Metazoa > Chordata > Mammalia > Primates > Hominidae > Homo > Homo sapiens. The sequence goes on from NT_187537.1 coordinate 142,442, forward strand.
ACCAATCTAGAGGCATCACATTACCCAACTTCAAAGTATATTACAAGGCTATAGTCACCAAAACAGCATGGTGCTGGTATAAAAATAGGCACATGACCAATGGGACAGAGTAGGGAACCTAGAAATAAAGCCAAATACTTAACAGCCAACTGATCTTCGACAAAGTAAACAAAAACAAAGTAGGGAAAGTACACCCTATACAACAAATAGTGCTGGGATAATTGGCAAGCCACATGTAAAAGAATAAAAATGGATTCTCATCTCTCACTTTATACAAAAATCAACACAAGATGGGTCAAAGACTTAAATCTAAGGTCTGAAACCATAAAAATTCAGAAGATAACTTTGGAAAACGCTTCTACACATTGGCTTAGGCAAACAGTTCATGACCAAGAACCCAAAAGCAAATGCAACAGAAACAAAGATAAATAGATGGGACTTAATTAAACTAAAAGCCTCCTGCACAGCATAGGAAATAATCAGCAGAGTAAACAGATCACCCACAGAATGGGAGAAAATTTTCACAAACTGCATCTGACAAAGGACTAATGTCCAGAATCTACAGGGAACTCTAATCAGCAAGAAAAAAATAATCCCATCAAAAAGTGTGCCAAGGACATGAATAGACAATTCTCAAAAGAAGATATACAAATGGCCGACAAACATATGAAAAAATGCTCAACATCACTAATTACCAGGGAAATGCAAATCAAAACCACAATGCAATACCACGTGTAAAATAAACAAAAATAGGGCCGGGCGTTGTGGCTCACGCGTGTAATCCCAGCACTTTGGGAGGCGAGGTGGGCAGATCAGGAGGTCAGGAGTTTGAGACCAGCCTGACCAACATGGTGAAACCCAGTCTCTACTGAAAATACAAAAATTAGCCTGGCATGGTGGTGGTTACCTGTAATCCCAGCTACTCAGGAGGCTGAGGCAGGAGAATTGCTTGAACCCGGGAGGCAGAGGTTGCAGTGAGCTGATATTGCACCACTGTACTCCAGCCTGGGTGACAGAGCGAGACTCCATCTCAAAAAAAACAAAAACAAACAAACAAACAAAAAACAAAAAAAGCAAAAATGGATGTTGGCATGGACGTGGTGAAAGAGAACGGTTTTACACTGCTGGTGGGAATGTAAGCTAGTACCACCACTATGGAAAGCAGTATGGAGATTCCTTAAAGAACTAAAAGTACATCTACCATTTGATCCAGCAACCCCACTTCTAGGTATCTACCCAGAGGAAAAGAAGTCATTATATGAAAAAGATACTTTTGCACACATGTTTACAGTAGCAAAATTCACAGTTGCAAAACTATAGAACCAGCCCAAATGCCCATCAATCAATTAGTGGATAAAGAAAATGTGTTATATATATATATATATATATATATACACACACACACACACACACCATAGAATACTACTTAGCCTTAAAAAGGAATGAAATAATGGCATTCATAGCAACCTGGATGGAGTTGGAGACCATTATTCTAAATGAAGTAACTCAGGAATGGAAAACCAAACATTGCATGTTCTCACTCATAAGTGGGAGCTAAGCTATGATGATGCAAAGGCACAAGAATGAAACAGTGGACGTTGGGGGCTCAGGGGGAAGGTGGGAGGGGGTGAGAGAGGAAAGACTATACACTGAGTAAACTGCTTTGGTGATGGGTACGCCAAAATTTCAGAGATCACCACTAAGGAACTTCTCCATGTAACCAAATACCACCTGTTCCCTAAAAACTATTGAAATTAAAAAAAAAGAAATATACAACAAATTGTTGTAGTCACTTTCTGTGATAATGAACCCTAGATCTTATTCCTTCTATTATATATTTTTATACCCATGAATCAACCTCTTTTTATACCCATTAATCAACTTCCTATTCCCAGCCTCTGTTAACTATCATTCTACTCTTTATCTCCATGATATCAATTTTATATAGCTCCAGGGCACACAAGTCCATAACTGCGGTCTCTCTCCCTGACCCTACTGACCTGAAACATGGCCCCCGCTTTGATTTCCAGGAGCATAAACTGCTCATATAAGTGAGAACATGCAATAGTTTTCTTTCTGTGCATGGCCTAGTTCACCTAACTTTATGACCTTTAATTCCATCCATTTAGCTGAAAATGACAGGATTTCATTTTCTTTATGGCTGAATACTATTCTATTGTGCATATGTTCCCATTTTCTTTATCCATTCATCCATTGATTGATTGACACTTAGATTGACTCCATATCTTGGCTATTGTAAATAGTGCTGCAGTAAATATGGGGGTACAGATATCCCGTTGATACACTGATATCCTTTTTTTTGGATACATACCCAGGAGTGGGATTGCTGGATCATATGGTAGATCTGTTCTTAGTTTTTTGAGAAATCTCTGTACTTTTTTTCATAATGGCTGTACTAATTTACATTCCCACCAACAACATACAATAATTTTCTTTTCTTCACATGCTTTCCAGCATTTGTTGTGCTTTGTCTTTTTCATAATAGCCATTCTAACAAGTGTGAGATGATATCTCATTGTGGTTTTGATTTGCATTTCCGTGATGATTAGTGATGTTGAATATTTTCTCATAAACTTGGTGATTTGTATATCTTCTTTTGAGAAATGTCTGTTTATTTTTTGATAGTTTCTTTTGCTGTGCAGGAGCTCTTTCATTTAATTAGATCCCATTTGTCAATTTTTGCTTTTGTGGCAATTGCGTTTGGCATCTTCACCATGAACACTTTGCCCATCACTATGTACCGGATGGTATTGCCTAAGTTGTCTTCCAGCGTTATTATAGTTATGGGTTTTACATTTAAGTCTTTAAGCCATCTTGAGTTAATTTTTGAGTATGGTGTAAGGGAGGGGTGTTGTCTTTTCACTCTGTTGATTGCTTTCTTTGATATGCAGAAGGTATTTAGTTTAATATAATCCCATTTGTCTGTTTTTGTTGCTTGTACTTTTTAAGTGTTAGCCATACAATCTTTGTTCTCAAGCGTTTCTCCTGTGTTTACTTCTAGTAGTTTCATAGTTGTGGCTGTTACATTTAAGTCTTTAATTGATTTTGAGTTTATTTTTGTAAGTGATGAGAGATAAGGGTCTAGTTTTATTCTTCTGTGTTTGGATATCTAGTTTCCCTGGCACCATTTAATGAAGAGGTTGTCCTTTATTCAATGTATGTTCTTGACAGCTTCTTGAAAATCAGTTAGCTGTAAATATGTGGATTCATTTCTGGATTCTTTAGTCTGTTTCCTTTGTTTTTGTGTCTGTTTTAATACCAATACACGCTTTTTTGGTTACTATAGCTTTGCAGTGTGTGTATATATATATATACACACACATATATATATACACGTATATATACACATATAAGTATATATATACACGTATATATATACGTGTGTATATATACACTTTTTTTTTTTTTGAGACAGAGTCTTGCTCTGTCGCCCAGGCTGGAGTGCAGTGGCGCGATCTTGGCTCACTGCAAGCTCTGCCTCCCGGGTTCACGCCATTCTCCTGCCTCAGCCTCCCGAGTAGCTGGGACTACAGGCACCCACCACCACACCTGGCTAATTTTTTTTTTTTTTTTTTTTTAGTAGAGACGGGGTTTCACCATGTTAGCCAGCATGGTCTCGATCTCCTGACCTTGTGATCCACCCGCCTCGGCCTCCCAAAATGCTGGGATTACAGGCATGAGCCACCGCGCCCGGCCGCTTTGCAGTATATTTTTAAATCAGGTAGTGTGAGGCTTCTAGCTTTGTTCTTTTTGCTCAGTATTGCTTTGGCTACTTGGGGTCTTCTGTGGTTCCATATGAATTTCAGGGTTATTTTTTTTCCTGTTTCTGTGAAGAATATAATTGATAGGGATTATACTGAATCTCTAGATTGTTTCGGGTAGCATGGTCATTTTAACAGTATTAGTTATTCCAACCCACGAGCATGAGATCCCTTTCCATTTGTTCCTGTCCTTCTCAATTTATTTTATCAGTGTTCTGTGGTTTTCATTGTAGAGTTTTTTTGGTTTTTTTTTTCCCCATCCTTGGTTAAGTTTATTCCTAGGCATTTTATTTTTGTAGCTATTGTAAATAGAATTTCTTCCTTGATTTCTATTTTAGCTAGTTTGTTACTGGTATATAGAAACATTACTGATTTTTGTATGTTGATTTTGTGTCCTGAAGCTTTACTGAATTATACATCCGTTCTTTACAAAATTTTTTATTTTTTATTTTTTGAGATAGAGTCTCACTCTGTTGCTCAGGCTGGAGTGCAGTAGTGCAGTCTTGGCTCACTGCAACCTCCACCTCTCGGGTTCAAGCCATTCTCCTGCTTCAGCCTCCCAAGTAGCTGGGATTACAAGCACCTACCACCATGTCTGGCTAATTGTATTTTTATTAGAGACAGGGTTTCACCATGTTTACCAGGCTGGCCTCAAACTCCCAACCTCAGGTGATCCGCCCACCTTGGCCTCCCAAAGTGCTGGGATTACAGGCATGAGCTACCATGCCCAGCCTAATTTACCCATTTTAAGAGTTTTTTGGTGGAGTCTTTAGGTTTTTCTGTTTACAAGTATAAGATTATGTCATCTGCAAAGTGAGACAATTTGACTTCCTCTTGTCCATTTTGGATGCCTTTTATTTCTTTATCTTATCACTCTGGCTTGGATGTCCCATACTGTGTTGAATAAGAGTGGTGAAAGTGGGCATCCTTGTCTTCTTCCAGTTATTAGAGGAAAGGCTTTTCAATTTTTCCCAGTGAGTAGGAAGTTAGCTGTAGATTTGTCATATATGCCTTTTCTTATGTTGAAGTGTTCCTTCTATGCATAATTTGTTGAGAGTTTTCATCATGAAGGCATGGTAAGTTTTACCGAGTGATTTTTCTTTCTGCATCTGCTGAGATGATCAGATAGTTTTTGACTTTCATCTTGTTGATGTGATGTATCACATGTATTGATTTGTGTATGTTGAGCCATCTTTGCATTCCTGGGATAAATCCCACTTGATCATGGTATATTATCTTTTTCATTCATCATTAGATTTGGCTTGGTAGTATTATGCTGAGAATTTTTCCATTTGTGTTCATTAGGAATATTGGCCTGTAGTTTTCTCTTTTTGTTGTGTCCTTGTCTTCATTGGATATCAAGGTAATGCTGGCCTTATACAATGAGTTAGGAAGAATTCCCTCCTCTTCAATTTTTGGGAATAGTTTGAGAAGTATTGGTGTTTGTTTTTCTTTATAAATTGGGTAGAAATCAGCATAAAAGCCTAGTCTAGGGCTTTTCTCTTTTGGGAGACTTTTTGTTACTGATTCAAACCTGCTATTCATTTTGTGTCATTTCAGGTTTTCTGTTTCTTCCTAGTTCAATCTTGGTAGGCTGTGTATGTCTGGGAATTTATCCCTTTCCTCTAGGTTTTCCAATTTGTTAGCATATGGTTGTTCATAATAGCCTCTAATGATCCTTTTTATTTCTTTAGTAACAGTTGTAATGTCTCATTTTTCATTTCTGATTGCATTTATTTAGGTCTCCTTTTTTGTTTTTGTTTGTTTGTTTGTTTGTTTGTTTTGGTTAGCCTCACTAGTGGTTTTTCAATTTTGTTTAACTTTTCAAAAAACCAACTTTTATCTTGTTGATTCTTTGCATTTCTATTTTGTCTCTGTTGCATTTGGTTCTGCTATGTTATTTATTATTTTTTCTTTCTACTAATTTTGTGTTTGGTTTGTTCTTGCTATTTGAGTTCCTTGAGGTTCATCATTAGGTTGTTTATTTGAAATCTTTCTACTTTCTTGGTGTAGGCATTTATTGCTATAAACTTTCCTTGTAGTACTGCTTTTGCTGTATCCCATAGATTTTGCATGATGTGTTTCCATTTTCTGTTTAAAAAAATTTTTTGATATCCATCTTAATTTCTTCATCGATCCAATGATCATTCAATAGCACGTTTAATGTCCATGTATTTGTACAGTTTCCAAATTTCTTCTTCTTATTGATTTCAAGTTTTATTCCATTGTGGTCTGAGAAGATACTTGATATGATTTTAATTTTTAAAATTTTGTTGAGCCTTGTTTTGTGTCCTAACATATGGTCTTTCCTGGAGAATGTTCCATGTGTTGATGAGATGATTGTATATTCTGCTGCCGCTGGATGAAATATTCTGAAAATATCTGTTAGGTCCATTTGGTCTAACGTGCAGCTTAAATCTGAGGTTTCTTTGTTGATTTTATGTCTAGATGAACTGTCCAATGCTGAGAGTAGGATATTGAAGTTCTCAACTATCATTGTATTGGACTCTATCTTTCCCTGTAGATTTAATAATATTTGCTATGTGTGTCTGGATGTGCTTGTGTTGGTTGCATGCATATTTAGAATTGTTATACTTTGTTGCAGAATTGATCCCTTTATTACCATATAATGACCTTCTTTGTCCTTTTTACAGTTTTTAACTTAAAGTCTGTTTTATCTGATGTAAGTTTAGCTACTCCTGGTTACTTTTGATTTCTGTTTGTGTGGTATATCTTTTTCAATCCCTTCACTTTCAGTCTGTGTGTGTCTTTACAAGTGAAGTGAGTTTCTTGTAGACGTTGTTGGGTCATTTTTTATCCATTAAGCCTCTCTCTATCTTTTAGGTAGGTAATTTAACCCATATTCAAAGTGATTATTGATAGGTGAAGACTTATTCCTGTCAATTTGTTCATTGTTTTCTGGTTATTTTGTATATCCTTTTGATATGGTTTGGCTGTGTCCCCACTCAGATCTCATCTTGAATTCCCATGTGTTGTGGGAGGGACCCAGTGGGAAGTAGTTGAATCACGGAGGCAGGTATTTCCCATGCTATTCTTTTGATAGTGAATAAGTCTCGTGAGATCTGATGGTTTTAAAAGGAGGAGTTTCCCTGCTCAAGCTCTCTCTTTGCCTGCTGCCATCCCTGTAAGATGTGACTTGCCTCTCCTTGACTTCTGCAATGATTTTGAAGCCTCCCCAGCAATGTAGAACCGTAAGTCCATTAAACCTCTTCCTTTTGTAAATTTCCCAGTCTTGAATGTGTCTTTATCAGCTGTGTGAAAATGGACTAATACAGTAAATTAGTACCAGAAGTGGGATGTTGCTAAAAGATACCTGAATATGTGGAAGTGACTTTGGAACTGGGAAACAGGCAGAGGTTGGAACAGTTTGGAGGGCTCAGAAGGAGACAGGAAAATGTGGGAAAATTTGGAAGAGATTTCCTAGAGACTTGCCCAAAATGCTGATGGTTATATGGACAATAAAGTCTAGGCCAAGGTTGTCTCAGATGGAAATGAGGAACTTGTCAGGAACTGGCACAAAGGTGACTCCTGTTATGTTTTAGCAAAGAGACTGGTGGCTTTTTGCCCCTGCTGTAGAGATTTGTGGAATTTTGAACTTGAGAGAGATGATTTAGGGTATCTGGTAGAAGAAATTTCTAAGCAGCAAAGCATTCAAGAGATGACTTGGGTGCTGTTAAAGGCCCTCAGTTTTATAAGGGAAGCAGAGCATGAAAGTTTGGAAAATTTGCAGCCTGAAAATGCAATTGAAAAGAAAATCCCATTTTCTCAAGAAAAATTCGATCTGGCTGCAGAAATTTGTTTACGTAAGGAGGAGTCAAATGTGAATCCCCAAGACAATGGGGAAAATGTCTCCATGGCATGTCATAGATCTTCATGGCAGCCCCTCCCATCAAAGGCCCAGAGGAAGAATAGATGGTTTTGTGGGCTGGACCCAGGGCCCCCCTGCTGTGAGCAGCCTAGGGTTCCTGAGTCCTAGCCACTCCAGCTGCAGCTAAAAGGAGCCAAGGTACAACATGGGCTGTGGCTTCAGAGGGTGCAAGCCCCAAGCCTTAGCGGCTTCCACATAGTGTTGAGCCTGTGGGTGCACAGAAGTCAAAAATTGAGGTTTGGGAACCACTGCCTAGATATCAGAAGATGTATGGAAATGCCTAGACGTCCAGGCAGGAGTTTGCTGCAGGGACAGGGCACTCATGGAGAACCTCTACTAGGGCAGTGCAGAAGGGAAATGTGGGGTCGGAGCCCCCACATAGAGTCCCTACTGCAGCGCCACCTAGTGGAGATGTGAGAAGAGGGCCACCATCCTCCAGACCGCAGAATGGTGGATTCACTGACAGCTTGCACTGTGTGCCTGGAAAAGCTGCAGACACTCAATGCCAACCCATGAAAGGAGGCAGGAGGGGGTTTATACCCTACAAAGCCACAGGAGTGGGGCTGTGGCCTTTTTTCTCCCAAGGCCATGGGAGCCCACCTCTTACATCAGCATGACCTGCATGTGAGACATGGAGTCAAAGAAGATCATTTTTGAGCTTTGAGATTTGACTGCCCTACTGGATTTTGGGCTTGCATGGGGCCTGTAGCCGCTTTGTTTTGGCAATTTTCTCCCATTTGGAATGACTGTGTTTACCCAATGCGTATACCCCCATTGTATCCAGGAAGTAACTAACTTGTTTTTGATTTTACATGCTCATAGGCAGAAGGGATTTGCCTTGTCTCACATGAGACTTTGGACTGTGGACTTTTGAGTTAATGCTGAACTTAGTTAAGAGTTTGGGGGACTGTTGGGAAGGCATGATTAGTTTTGAAATGTGAGGATATGAGATTAGGGAAGGGTCAGGGACAGAATGATATGGTTTGGTTGTGTCCCCACCCAAATCTCATCTTGAATTCCCACATGTTGTGGGAGGGACCTGGTGGGAAGCAATTGAGTCATGGGGGCAGGTCTTTCCCATGCTGTTCTCATGATAGTGAATACATCTCACAAGGTCTGATGGTTTTAAAGAGGGTAGTTTCCCTGCAGAAGCTCTCTCTTTGCCTGCTGCCATCCATGTGAGACATGACTTGCTTCTTCTTGCCTTCCAACTTGATTGTGAGGTTTCCTCAGCTATGTGGAAGTGTAAGTCCATTAAACCTCTTTATTTTGTAAATTGCCCAGTCTCAGTCAGGTATGTCTTTATCAGCAGTGTGAAAACAGACTAATACACCTTTGTTCTTTTTTTCTCTCATTATTTATGGTTGCAGTTCGGTGGTTTTCTGTAGTGGTGTTGTTTGAATCCTTTCTTCTTTGTGTGTCTGCTCTGCCAGTGAATTTTATACTTTCATGTATTTTCCTGATGGTAGATATTGTTCTCTTGCTTCCCAATGTAGGACTCCCTTAAGCATTTCTTCTAGGACCACAACAAACAAGACCCAAACAAACAGTCTTTTTCTTATCTGGGAAATACTCTTTTTCTCTTTTATTTATGTATTTCTTTTTTTAGCAATGGAGTCTCACTCTGTCACCCAGGCTGGAGTACAGTCGCATGATCATAGCTCACTGCAGCCTTGAACTCCTGGGCTCAAATAATCCTCCTGCCTCAGCCTTCTGAGTCTCTGGAATTGCAGATGTGAGCCACTGTGCCAGGCTCCTTCATTTGTGAAGGATATCTTTGCTGGGTATAGTATTTTTGGCTTACATTTTTTTTTTCTTTTTTTTACTTGTAGTATACATCCCCTTTTCTCCTAGCCTGCAAGGTTTCTGCTGAGAAATCCCGTTAGCCTGATGGAGATTCTAAGTGACTTCATGCTTTTCTCTTGCTGTTTTCAGCATTTTCTCTTTGTCTTTTGACAATTTTACCATAATGTGCCTTGGAGAAGATCTCTTTGAGTTGTATTTATTTGGTAATCTTTGAGCTTCCTGTATTTGGAAGCTTTCAGGAAGTTTTCAGTTATTATTTTATTAAATGGGTTTTCTATGCCTTTACCCATCTCGTCTCCATCCAGAACTCCCAGAATTTCAGTTTTTGGTCACATATGTGTCCCATATATCATGTAGCCTTCCTTCATTCTTTTTTCTTTCTTTTTGTCTGACTGGATTATTTTAAAAGACTAGGCTTCAGGTTCAGAAATTCTTTGTTTTGCTTGATCTAGTCTATTGTTAAAGCTGTCAATTATCTTTTGTATTTCTTTCAATGATTTATTCTTTTCCAGGATTTGTGTTTGGTTCTTTGTTATGCTGTCTATCTCTGTTGAATTTCTCATTCAGATCATGAATTGTTTTCCTGACTTTTTATATTCATTATCTGTGTTCTCTTGTATCTCCCTGACTTTCTTTAATAACATTATTTTGAATTTTTCTCAGTCATTTCATAGATTTTCTTTTCTTTGGAATCTGTTGCTGGAGAATTATTGTGCTTCTTTGGAGATGTTATGTTTCCTTTTTCATCTTTCTTGCATCCTTATGTGACTATCTGTGCCTTTGACATAACAGTCACTTCTTCCAATTTTATGGATTGGCTTTTATATGGGAAAACCTTTTCTTATAGCTGTAGCTACAGTATTCATTGGATATCACACTTTGGCTTTGATTCTGGGTGGGTACAGTGGCATAGTCTGCATATGATTTCTTCAGCTGTAATTGGCATGAGTGGTGTCTGTGAGTCATTCAGTGGCTTAGACTGCAGTTTTGTGTTTTTTTTTTTTTTTTTTTGTGTGTGGTTGTTGAGATGGAGTCTAGCTCTGTCACCAGGCTGGAGTTCAGTGACACAATCTCAGCTCACTGCAACCTCTGCCTCCTGGGTTCAAGTGATTCTCCTGCCTCAGCCTCCTGAGTAGCTGGGACTACAGGCATGTGCAACCATGCCCAGCTAATTTTTGTATTTTTAGTAGAGACGGGGTTTCACCATGTTGGCCAGGCTGGTCTCAAACTCCTGACCTCACGATCTACCCACCTCGGCCTCTCAAAGTGCTGGGATTACAGGCGTGTGCCACCACACCTGGCCAGACTGCAGTTGTTATTTGAGGCTGTGATGAGGCTTTGCTGAGGATGGGGATGCCAGGAAGTCTTGTCCTTCAGCATCAGTGGTAGTGGTGGTGGACCAGGTTTGTCAATACTAGGGACCATGGGCAGTGTATATGGGCACTGATGATAGCCTGTCTACGTGGGCCAATCCTTGGGCCCCCAGGTGGCTTCTTTGGTTGCTGGCAGTGGCAGCACTGGGCCAGGCGGGCAGGTGCGCCACTGGGCTCCTGGGTGGCGTGTGTGGCAGTCTGATCTATAGTTCTCCAGGTGATGTGTGCAGGTTCTGGTGGTGGGTAGACAGGTGTTTACTCAGGCCTCTCAGTAGTAAGTGTGAGCGCTAGCTCTGGAGGCAGGTGAGTCAATCTCTAGGCCCCCAGATGGTACACTCAGGCCTCAGCATATTCCTATGCATTTCTAGATAAAAGTATTTTTCAGAAAACCTGAGCATATGTCCTATTAATACAAACTGCCCTCATCAGCTCTGCATGAGAAGAAGGGGGAATTCCCTCAGTAGAACTGTCAGAATGGAATCACAGACTTGTTTTGAGCCAGTCACTGGTAAGGGGGATTAGGCTAAAATGATAAGCTCAGAATCTAAACCTTAGACTAGGGAATGGCAAACTTTTTCCATAAAGAGGCAAACGGTAATATTTTAGGCTTTTGGTCTAGATAACCTCTGTTGCAGTGACGCAGTGGTGCCATCATAGCCTAAAAGCATATGTAGACAAGGCATAAATGAATGGACCTGGGTTTATTCCAGTAAAACTTAATTTATACAAACAGTCAGAGGGCCAGATTTGGCCCTTGGTCTATAGTTTGCCAACCCTGTTTAGAACAGTCACGATTTATTCCCTGGGGCTGGGCCAACTTTTTCTTAAAAAAAAAAAAAAAAAGAAAGCAACCCACTGTCAGAATAAAATAGGGTTTCTATTTAAAAAGAAGAAGAGGCTGGGTGTGGTGGCTCATGCCTATAATCCTAGCACTTTGGGAGGATGAGGCAGGAGGACTGCTTGAGGCCAGGAGTTTGAAACCAACTTGGGCAATATAGTGAGACCCTGTCTCTGCAAATAATAAAAAAATTAGCCAGGCATGGTGGCACATGTCTGTAGTCTTAGCTAGACAGGAGGCTGAAGGGGAAGATCACTTGAGCCCAGGATTTTGAGGTTACAGTGGCAAACTGTTTGCCTCTGACTGTACCACTTCTACTCTAGCCTAGGCAAAGGGGGAGAACCCAGAAACAAACAAACAAACAAAAAGGTTGGTTGGGGAGGTTGGAGAAGAAAGTATTTCTGAATTTCTGGGTAGGTTACTGGTAGTGTCAGGCCAAACTAGCTCTACAGTCGTATTCATTATAAATAAAGGCAACTAGAAGATCTCCAATTAGCTATTAAAAATTGGTTAAAATCTACAGAGATAAAGGATGGTGACCCTTGTATCAGTTAGTTGTTGTCACAAAATGCTGCATAACAAGTCACTCCAAATCTCAGTGGCTTAATACAACAATTGTTTATTTTCATGGATCTATGGGTCAGCTGAGGATTGGTTAATCTGGCATGAGCGTGTCTGGGAAGCTTGACTTTGCTCTTGGTGTCTCTTATCTTCTGCTGGAAGCAGCAGTCTGGCCTGGGCTTGTTCTTTTGGTGATAGCAGGAGTGAGTGAGCACAAATGAATGCACACTTTCCAAGTTTTTGGTCATGTAGATTAATATTCCAGTGGCCAAAGCTAGACATGTGACTAAATGCAACATTAGGGGCTGGAGAAATATACTCCAATTCTTCAGTGGGAGGAGCTGCAGAGACAAATGGCAGAGTCTTGGTTACAGGGAGGACATGGATCCATTAATGTACCTTAATCAACGGCAACACTCTAACCACCAATACAATTAAATAAGTATTTGTTGAATGCACTTGTGCCTGAATCCTTCTGGCTGCAGCCCAGGCAATGGGGGCCTGACTGGGGAGGGACCATAGCAGGGACTCGATGTCCTGCAGGTCTGCATGTAATTGTGTACGGCCGACTCCACATTGGTCATGGCTGACTTGCTTTGTCCTGCGTCCCCAAGGGGCAACGATTGGCTGATTTTATTTCTGAACAATTTTGACAAAGTTGTTTTCAGGAGCCCAGGAAGCAAATCAGTTGTAGATTTGAATTTTGCAGGGGGTCAGAATTGTTGAATATATGTATAGTCTTTTACATGCTGATAATTATTTCCATACCACAAAGAAGGCCGGCTATTAGGAAGCTGCTGTTCAATTCCTTTGCCCCGTGAACTCATGAGCTGTGTCTATGTGGGGGGCACTCACTTGTTAGAGCTGTTTCCCTTCATAATAATATCAGCCAACATTCTAAATAAATGCAGGAAATTAAATAGTCTTTCCCAGACAGGTACTTTGCCCTTCTAAAGTGAATTACACATTGTAAAATAAAACACAGTCACTTTAAAAAAACAAAAGGTCTTTGGGTCAGGTTGGTCTGGCTTCAGCAAAGATAATCTTTGCCTCCAGAGTAGAAGATCCTTGGAATCCATGGTATTGCATATGGCAGCCCCACATCTTGTTTCCTTTTCTTTTTTTTTTTGTTTTTAACTAAAAGAATTGACAATTTTATTTTCACATTTCCCAATACAAATGAAAACTGCATCTTTTTTGGTCCCACTTCTCCCCTCCAAAACTATTCTCTTTGATAGGGCAAGGGGGCAAGTCTTCCTTATGCTGTTAAGAAAACCCAGCATCACAGCCCATGATCTCCTGGTGAAGGGAGCAGGTAAATATAAAGTCATATAGGCCGGGCGCAGCTGCTCGCGCCTGTAATCCCAGCACTTTAGGAGGCTGAGGCAAGCAGGTCATGAGGTCAGGAGATTGAGACCATCCTGGCCAACATGGTGAAACCCTGTCTCTACTAAAATAAAAAAAATTAGCCAGGCATGGTGCGCATGCCTGTAGTCCCATCTACTCAGGAAGCTAAGGCAGGGGAATCACTTGAATCCAGGAAGTGGAGGTTGCAGTGAGCTGAGATCGTGCCACTGCTCTCCAGCCTGGGCGACAGAGGAAGACTCTGTCTCAAAAACAAAACAAAAGAAAAAACACACAACAACAACAACAAAAAAACAACACTGATGTAATGAGGCCTCCCCTCTATCCTTATCTGTCTGGTCAAGTCATTCTGGGCTAACTGGGCACCATCATGAGATGGGCAAGAGGTCTCATCATTGGGCACCCAGGCATCATGGGCATGTGGCCTCCCATGGCAGCCTCATTCCAGGAGCAGGTCCCACTGGCATCATTCCAGGAGGAGGAGGGCCCATCATTGGCATCATGGGAGGGCCTCCCATATGGGGTGCTGCCATCATACTGAGATGTGTGAGAAGTGTCAGATACACATTAGATTGTGAGGCCTTAATATAAAAAGAAAACATTGTGTTAATGTTAAAATAGTTTATACATGTAGACCTGGTATTTTGGATAGATTTATTTAAATCTGTGATATTATTCCAATTACCTTCACTTCTTTTGTTTTACTTTTTAAAATATGGTTACTACAAAATGCAAAAGTAAATATGTGGCTTGCATCCTATTTCATCACATTTAGTGTGGGCCCTGAGGGTCTAGGGGAGTTATGAGCCTTAAGTTGAGGGTGACCCAGATCAACGTGAATTGCTCTGAAAGAGAAGCAAAGGGCATAAAGAGAACGTATAAATGGAGAGAGGGAGCTCAGTCTCGCAGGGTCAGGAAAGGCTTTCTTTCTTACAGTCTGGCATTTCTTCAAAAGCTTAAACACAGAGTTCTATGACCCAGCACTTCCACTCCAGTTTATGAAAGAAATGAAAATATATGTCTATGCAGAAACTTGTACACAAATGCTCATAGCAGCATTATTCACAATAACGCCAAAGTGAAAACAACACAAATGCTTGTCTACTGATGAGTGGAGAAGTAGAACATGGTTTGACTATGCAATGGAATATTATTCAGTCATCAAAAGGAATGAAGTACTAACACGTGCTACAACAAGGATGAACCATGAGAATATTATGCTAAGTGGAAGAAACCAGTCACTAAATGTCACATATTATAAGATTTCATTTATATGAAATGTCCAGCACACGCAAATCTATGAAGACAGAAACCCTGTCTCTACTAAAAATATAAAATTAGATGGGTGTGGTGGCACAAGCCTGTAATCCCAGCTACTTGGGAGGCAGGAGAATTGCTTGAACCCAGGAGGCAGAGGTTGCAGTGAGCCGAGATTGTGCCACTGCACTCCAGCCTGTGACAGAGACTCTATCTCAAAAAAAGTAGATTGTCAGGGCTTAGTGGGAGGAGGAAATGGCAGGTACCTGCTCATGGATACAGGGTTTCTTTTTGGGGTGATGAAAATGTTTTAAAATTGATCATAATGGTGGTTGCCGAGCTCTGTGAATGCACTGAAACCATTGATTTGTTCACTTTAAATGGGCAAATCATACAGTACCCGAATTATATTTTAATAGTTATATTAAAAAAGTAAAATCTTCCTTGAAGAGATGACACTTAAGGAGAGGCGTAGGGGGTGGGATGAGTTCACTAGGCAGAAAATGAGGAACAGCATTTCAGGGTGAGGAACAGCATAGTGAAGTCCCTGAGGTTGATAGGCATAGAGCAGATTTAAGGGACTTTTAATTTTTTTTTTTTTTTTGAGACGGAGTTTCGCTCTTGACGCCCAGGCTGGAGTGGAGTGGTGTGATCTTGGCTCACTGCAACTTCTGCCTCCTGAGTTCAAGCGATTTTCCTGTCTCAGTCTCCCGAGTAGCTGGGATTACAGGCGCCCTCCACCACACCTAGCTAATTTTTGGATATTTAGTAGAGATGGGGTTTCACCATGTTGACCAGGCTGGTCTTGAACTCCTGATCTCAGGTGATGCACCCGCCTCAGCTTCCCAAAGTGCTGGGATTACAGGCATGAGCCACTGCGCTCAGCCAGATTTAAGGTACTTTCAAGAAGTTTGTGTGGTTGAAGCCTGCAGGGCAAGCGAGAGAATCAGGAAATGAGGCTGGAGAAAGAGAGGGGCTAGGTCATGGAGGATCTCACATTAGGGTGTTGAAACTTCATAGGAGTGGTCCCACCTTGGGCATCCCACGTAACTACTCTGTGTCCCAGCTTCCCCACTGGTGAAATAAAGGGCTGATGTAGGGATGGACCGAGATAGTGTGTGCTCAGTAAAGGTGACCTTTTATCATTGTTTTGTTTTGTTTTGTTTTGAGACGGAGTCTCACTCTGTCGCCTAGGCTGGAGTGCAGTGGCGCGATCTCGGCTCACTGCAACCTCCGCCTCCCGGGTTCACGCCATTCTCCTGCCTCAGAATCCCGAGTAGCTGGGACTACAGGCGCCCGCCACCACGCCCGGCTAATTTTTTGGTATTTTTAGTAGAGACGGGCTTCACCATGTTAGCGAGAATGGTCTGGATCTCCTAACGTCGTGATCCACCCGCCTCGGCCTCCCAAAGTGCTGGGATTACGGGCATGTGCCACTGCGCCTGGCCAAGCTTTTATCATTGTTAACCCACAGAGCAGTGGGAGCCATTGAAAGTGAGTGATCTGTTTAGATGCACCTTCTGAAGTGATTGCTTTGGTCCCTGTGAGGAGTGCAGAATGTCACAGGGCCAGGGGAAAACAGAGGCCAGTCAGGAGGCATTTGCAGTCAGACAGCTGGAGGTGATGGTGGCTTGGTTTATGGTGGTGTCAGGAGAGTGGCTGAGCAGTGAACGGATCTGAGAAAGATTTAGGAGGTAAAACCCACGTGACTTGGTCACTGAATGTGGGCTGGGTGGGCTGGAGGGAAGGTAAGAAAGAATGAGAAGAAAAACATACGCAGGTGGGCCCTCCAGCCTAAGGTTACTTGAGGTCCTTTGTGAAGAGGAATGTTTGTGTTTATGATGAAGATGTCTAGACTTTGAAAGGCCATTTGCAGTACTTTTTTTTTTTTTTTTTTTTACCAGCCAACAACTCCTCCTTCCCTATGCCCTAAACATATGAATTTTTTTTGCCCTAATTTATCACAGAGAGATGGACGTTCATTTGCTTTAATGAGAAATGCGGAATGCCACTAAGAAAGCATATTAAATTAATCTAGCTTGTTGTGAGGGAGTTAAATCTGTTTAGATGTGCACCAGTGTGACTATAATAGTTTGGTCTCAACCCATTTCTGGCCTGCGGCTGCAGGAGGTTGACTCCCAGCTTGCTTTCATTTGAAAGATCCCAGCAACAAACACATTTGGCATTTCCAGCCAAACCCACTTTGTGCAGCGAAGGAAAAGTTGAGGCGTGCCTCTGTTGTTTTCCCCCAAATCATTAGGCAGAAATGTGGCTGGGAGCTTCATTGCTGATTTTTTCAGTTTTAATATTGCTGTGGAAAGCCTGTACCAACACTCAGCCATGTTATTCATCCACAGCTCCAGTCTGGGCTGTGATTTGTTTTTCCTTTGAGTGACACAACCTTATTTTCCATTAAGACTCAATGCAAATAGACACTCATGCAACATCACCATCACTCCCCCTGCTTGGCAGAGGGAAGTCAATGGAGTGATTCTAGTTTGGTGTTCATATCGGAGGGTTTTATTTGTTTATTAATTTTGAGACGGAATCTGTCTCTGTCACTAGGCTGGAGTGCAGTGGCGCGATCTCGACTCACTGCAACTTCTGACTCCCTGGTTCAAGCGATTCTCCTGCCTCAGCCTCCTGAGTAGCTGGGCTTACAGGCATGTGATACCATGCCCGGCTAATTTTTTGTATTTTTAGTGGAGACGGAGTTTCACCGTGTTAGCCAGGTTGGTCTTGATCTCCTGACCTCGTGATCCGTCCACCTCGGCCTCCCAAAGTGCTAGGATTACAGGTGTGAGCCACTGCGCCTGGCCTGGAGTCGTTTTTAAAAACACATTTCTCTCAAATTAACTCCGGGGTGTCCCACTGTGACTTGGGCAAAGGTTTGGATTTTCTGGAGGTGGAAAGTCAAACTTCAAATAGAATTTGGAGGCTGGACACTGTGGCTCATGCCTGTAATCCCAGTACTTTGGGAGGCTGAGGTGGGTGGATCATTTGAGGCCAGAAATTTGAGACCAATCTGGGCAACATGACGAGACCGTGTTTCTACTAAAAATATAAAAATTAGCTAGGCGTGGTGGTACATGCCTGTAATCCCAGCCACTTAGGAGGCTGAGGCAGGAATTATCGCTTGAACCTGGGAGGCAGAGGTGTCCTGTGTCCACACCCCATGAGGTGTATCAGCTGACTGAAGATAAAATCGGTCACGCTGTGTTGAGATTGGGGTTGCTGTTATCATACCTCATCCCCACCCCTGCTAGGCATCCACAAACAGTCATCTTCAATGAGACATCCCTCCTGCCCCTGGCTGCCTTATTTCATCTGCACCCAACCATATCCATTGCTTGTCAGTGGGTCTCAACCTTGGCTGCACCTTGGAATCTCCTGGGGAGATGAGACAATACCAAGGCTCTCTCTCACTCAGCATGATGTTTCCAAGGTCCATCCACATGTAGTAGGCACCAATATTTCCACTGTATGGATACAGCACATTTTGTTTATTCATTCATCAACCAAATTGCCAGCTTGGTTGTTGTTACCTTTTGCTTATTATATATATTACATGATTCCATTTATGTGAAAGGTCCAGAATAGTCAAATCTATAGAGGCAGAAAGCAGGTAAGTGGTTGCCAGGAGCTGGGGGAAAGGGGAGGGGATGGAGAGTGCTTGATGGATACAGGGTTATTTTTTGGGGGGGCAGAGGGTGTTAATGAAAATGTTTTGGAACTAGACAGAGATGATGATTGCTTAACGTTGTGAATGTATTTAATGATACTGAAGTGTATGGTTTCATACAGGGACTTGTATGTTATGTGAATTTTGCCTCATTAAAAAAATACTGCTAGGAGCAATGGCTCATGCCTGTAATCCCAGCACTTGGGAGGCCAAGGCGGGAGGATCACGTGAGGCTAGGAGTTTGAGACCTGCCTGGCCAACATGGTGAAACCCTATCTCTATTAAAAATACAAAAATTAGCCAGGCGTGGAGGTGCATGCCTATAATCCCAGCTACTCGGAAGGCTGAGGTAGGAAAATGCGTTGAACCCAGGAGGCAGAGTTTGCAGTGAGCTGAGATCGCACCACTGCATTCCAGCCTGCATGACAAGATTCCATCTCAAAAACACACACACACACACACACACACACACACACAAAATGCTGATGCCCATGTTTCATCCCCAGGAGATTCTGTAATAATTGATCTGGGATGCAGAGCCTGGGCACTGGGTTTTTAAAATCTCCCGAGCTGATTCTGACGTGCAGCTGTGGTTGAGAATCTCCTTCTGGAATGAACTTGTTCATGTTTTACTTGTATTGTTTTCTAGCCTGGCTTTGCCTTTCTGTTTCCCTTCACATCTTTGGGGGTAATTTTTATAATGCAGTCTAACAACCAGCTGCCTCAAAATGCACTGGGATCCCTCGTAACCAGGTAGCTCCGCATCTCCAACTCCGACCTGCCAAGTCGGAATCTTGTGGGTGGGGCCAAGGACTGTACATATTGAAACAGGCAGTGACCTGGGAACTATTTCTGAACACCCCTAGGTTTCCCCTGTGTTTGCCCTTTCCTTTCACATTTGGACCCCTTTGTGTGCTGACCACTGGGCCGTCGCGCATGGACATAGCATAAAAAAGACAGGCCAGGTGCAGTGGCTCACGCCTGTAATCCCAGCACTTTGGGAGGCTGAGGTAGGCAGATCACTTGAGGCCAGGAGTTCAAGATCTGCCTGGCCAACATGACAAAACCCCATCTCTACCAAAAATATGAAATTAGCTGGGTGTGGTGATGCACGCCTTTGATCCCAGCTACTCAGGAGGCTGAGGCTGGAGAATCCCTTGAGCCCAGGAGGGAGAGACTGCAGTGAGCCGAGATCACACCATTGCACTCCAGCCTGGGTGACAGAGTGAGACTCTTAAAAAAAAAAAAAAAGACAGAGATGGTCCTTCCTTTATGGAGCTCTCAGTAAAACAAGAAAGTTCACGATGTCCTGGCATTTGTCAGAAATACATTTGGTATATGTAGCTGGGGTCACATGCTTGACATGCCTATTGAAAGCTTCTGGGTAGGAAGAGAACAATCATCACAGCATCACAGCCTGGCATAACTGTCTCCCAGGACAGGTCTCCCTGGGGAGACTGAGACCACAACTCTGAAATCAGAGCTCAAATCCAGGTTCTACATTTCCCTCAGAAATGTACATGATGTAAGACAGTTTTTATATTAGTTATCTGTTGCTGTGCAACAATATTACTGCAAACTTTGTGGCTTGAGACAGCACACAGTTATCACTGCGTGGTTTCTGTGGGTCAGGAAACCAGGCGTGACTCAGCTGGGTTCAGTGCAAGGCTGCAGCCATAGTGTCAGCCAGGGCTCGGTTCTCATCTGGAGGCTTGACTGGTGATTGATCTGCTTCCCGGCTCATCTGGTTGTTGGCAGAATTCAGTTCCTTGCAGGTTGACTCAGGGCCCCAGTTTCTTGTTTCCCTCAGCTTCTTGCCACGTGGGCCTCTCCATCTGGCCACTCATGACATGGCAGCTCACATCTTCAAAGCCAGCAAGACAGCCTCCTAGCAAGACAACTTCACATCCTATCTAACATAATCACTACATCCCATCACCTCTGCCATATTCTCTTGGTTATAAGAAAGTCATAGGTCCCTTTGTCAGATGAGTAGATTGCAAAAATTTTCTCCCATTCTGTAGGTTGCCTGTTCACTCTGATGGTAGTTTCTTTTGCTGTGCAGAAGCTCTTGAGTTTAATTAGATCCCATTAGTCAATTTTTGCTTTTGTTGCCATTGCTTTTGGTGTTTTAGACATGAAGTCCTTGCCCATGCCTATGCCCTGAATTGTATTGTCTAGGTTTTCTTCTAAGGTTTTTATGGTTTTATGTCTAAAATTTAAATCTTTAATCCACCTTGAATTAACTTTAGTATAAGATGTAAGGAAGGGATCCAGTTTCAGCTTTCTCCATATGGCTAGCCAGTTTTCCCAGCACCATTTATTAAATAGGGAATCCTTTCCCCATTGCTTGTTTTTCTCAGGTTTGTCAAAGATCAGATAGTTGTAGATGTGTGGCATTATTTCTGAGGGCTCTGTTCTGTTCCATTGGTCTATATCTCTGTTTTGGTACGAGTACCATGCTGTTTTGGTTACTGTAGCCTTGTAGTATAGTTTGAAGTCAGGTAGCATGATGCCTCCAGCTTTGTTCTTTTGGCTTAGGATTGCCTTGGCGATGCGGGCTCTTTTTTGGTTCCATATGAACTTTAAAGCCGTTTTTTCCAATTCTGTGAAGAAAGTCATTGGTAAATTGATGGGGATGGCATTAAATCTATAAATTACCTTGGGCAGTATGGCCATTTTCATGATATTGATTCCTCCTACCCATGAGCATGGAATGTTCTTCCATTTGTTTGTATCCTCTTTTATTTCATTGAGCAGTGGTTTGTAGTTCTCCTTGAAGAGGTCCTTCATGTCCCTTATAAGTTGGATTCCTAGGTATTTTATTCTCTTTGAAGCAATTGTGAATGGAAGTTCACTCATGATTTAGCTCTCTGTCTGTTATTGGTGTATAAGAATGCTTGTGATTTTTGTACATTGATTTTGTATCTGAGATATTACTGAATTTTGGTATTTTTAGTAGAGTTGGGGTTTGCTGAATGCAGCCCCCAGTCACATACTCCCTGCTTGGTCAATCGATCACAACCCTCTTATGATCACGACCCTCTCACACGGACCCCCTTAGAGTTGTGAGCCCTTAAAAGGGACAGGAATTTCTCACTTGGGGAGCTGGGTTGTTAGAGACGTGTGCCACCATGCCCAGCTAATTTTTGTATTTTTAGTAGAGATGGGGTTTCACCATGTTGGTTGCCCAGCATAGTCTCGATCTCTTGACCTCGTGATCTGCCCAACTCGGCCTCCCAAAGTGCTGGGATTACAGGCGTGAGCCACTGCACCCAGCCCAGAGAAGGCTTTTCATACTTGCTTCACAGGCTCCTGCATCCTACCGCAGCACCAGGTGCTCACCACCTGTGGGCTGTGCTCATCTGTGATCATCTCTCCTCAGGCCTGCTGTTCCTTGAGAAAGGAAGTTGTAATGGGCAGAATTCTAGGACAGCCCCTAAGAGACCCACTCCCTTATATCTGCTCCCTGTATCATCTCTTCTTCTTGAGTGTGTCCAGAGCTTGTGATTTGGCCAAGGGGAAGGAATTTTGCAAATGTGATTATGGTCACACTTGCTTTGTTAAGCACATTTGCTCAGCTGACTTTGAGTTCATCCAAAGCAGGATGATCTTAGGTGGGCCAGACCTAATCATATGAGCCTTTTAAAGGTGAGGTTTCAGAGATTCAACCCTTAGCCTCCAAGGAGACACAAATGGCCATGCTGTGAGCTGTCTTTGGAGGTGGCAGCTCTAGGTGCTGAGGGCCTTCGTTCAACAATTGCAAGAAATTGAATTCAGTCCACAAACTGAATAAGCTTGGAAGAGGACCCTGAGCATCTGATGAGAGCCCAGCTCCAGCTGACACTCTGGTTGCAGTATTGTGACCCTGAATAGAAGGCCCAGTTAAACCCTGCCCAGACCCTTGGCTCATGAAAAGAGATAATAACTGGGTGGTGTTTAAGCTGCTCAGTTTGCACTGGTAAATCCACCAACAGGAAAGTAATATAGAAGTTAAGTGGGCCGGGCATGGTGGCTCATGCCTGTAATCCCAACACCTTGGGAGGCTAAGGTAGGTGGATCACAAGGTCAAGAGATCGAGACCATCCTGGCCAACATGGTGAAACCCCACCTCTACTAAAAATACAAAAATTAGCCAGGTGTGGTGGCACACACCTGTAGTCCCAGCTACTCAGGAGGCTGAGGCAGGAGAATCACCTGAACCCAGGGGGTGGAGGTTGCAGTGACCCGGGACCATGCCACTGCACTCCAACCTGGTCAACAGGGAGAGACTCCATCTCAAAAAAAAAAAAAAAATGTTAAACGAATACTTTTGAGCATTGATGGAAGTTGCTTTCATTCCCTCTTACTTAATCATCTTTATCTTAGCCCTGAAAGAGGGATGCTTTAACCCCATTTGTAACAAGTGAGTCTGAGGCCCAGGAAAGTGATAGAATTTAGCAAAGTCCACCTTGCTACCTGGTGGCTGCAGCTAGAACTTAACCCCAGGTCCATATACCTAAAGTCATTACAACTTCCACTAAAATTTTGCCCCTCTCTCCATGCCTTCCTGTTTAGAAGCCTGTTCCTTCAGGGATAGATCCCAACCCAGTGTTACAAGGTACTGAATTCTGATTTTCACAAAATATAGTAACTCCACCCCAAAATTGATAATTGTATTTTTGAGCCAGGCATGGTGGTTCATGCCTGTAATCCCAAAACTTTGGGAGGCTGAGGTGGGTGGATCATGAAGTCAAGAGATTGAGAGCATCCTGGACAACATGGTGAAACCCCGTTTCTACTAAAAATACAAAAATTAGCTGGGAGTGGTGGCATCTGTAATCTCAGCTACTCAGGAGGCTGAGGCAGGAGAATCGCTTGAACCCAGGAGGCAGAGGTTGCAGTGAGTCGAGATTGCACCACTGCACTCCAGCCTGGCAACAGAGCAAGACTCCATCTTAAAAAAAAAAAAAAAAAAAACAACTATTTTTGAGTCCTTATGTGTCAACCACTGGGCTATCCCAACACCAATAGATATTATGATTATGATTTTCTTTTCCATTTTATTGATGTGGAAACCAACACATAGAAAGGTAAAGGAACTTGCCAAAGGTGATGGTCACACAGCCGAAGAACTGTAGAAGTAGCACAGGAATCCCAGCAAACTCACAGCCAAGCTCTACTTTTCACCTTCACGTCATACTGTCCTCAGACTAAAACCGTAACTCTGACGTTCCCAATCAAAAATCATACTCAAGGCCGGGTGCGGTGGCTCACGCCTGTCATCTCAGCACTTTGGGAGGCCAAGGCAGGTGGATAACCTGAGGTCAGGAGTTCCAGACCAGCCAAGCCAACATGGTGAAACCCCATCTCTACTAAAAATACAAAACTTAGCCAGGTGCAGTGGTGGGTGTCTGTAATCCCAGCACTTTGGGAGGCTGAGGCATGAAAATCACTTGAACCCAGGAGGCAGAAGTTGCAGTGATCCATGATCATGCCACTGCACACCAGTCTGGGCAAGAGAGTGAGACTCTGTCTCAAAAGAAAAAAAAAACTGTGCTTAATAATAGCTTAGAAGTGCACATATCTTCTGTGAAGGTTGATGGACTACAATTAGCTTCAAAACACAAATAAGTAACTGTGTTTAAATGAGGCCTTCTGTGTAATAGCTAGGGAAAATCAATGTAGCTATTCATATTTTGGTTCCCCTTCCAGGCACAGAGAAGTTGCCCATGACTCTGTGATCCGTTTTGTCCGATGAACCATGAGCAGGAGCAACTTGAGTCACCTCCAGGTGGAAGTGTTAAGAGGCTCTGTGATCCAGCACATTCCCTTTCCCCTGAAGTGGTGATCAAGGACACATGCAGAGATGGGGCTTTTGTCAGCCTGGATCCCTGAGTGAACACAATGAACAGACCACCCCACAATGCCCTAACACAGCCCAGACATGCAACATGACCAAGAATAAGCCTCATTGTGGCCAGACATGGTGGCTCACACCTGTCATCCCAGCACTTTGGGAGGCCAAGGCAGGTGGATCATTTGAGGTCAGGAGTTCAAGACCAGCCTGGCTAACATGGTGAAATCCTGTCTCTACTAAGTAAAAAAATTAGCCAGACAGTAGTGGCACGGGCCTGTAATCCCAGCCACTCAGGAGGCAGAGAATCACTTGAGTCTGGGAGGCAGAGGTGGCAGTGAGCTGAGATTGCACCACTGCACTCTAGTCTGGGTGACAGAGTGAGACCCTGTCTCAAAAACTAACAAATACCTCACCGCATGGAGCCACTGAGATTTGGGGGTTGTTGTTACTGCATCAGAACCCAAATCATCCTGACCACTAGACTGTCCTAACTAGGGTTTCTTACCAAAAGCAAAGGCATTTTTAAAGTTCGTGACATTTAAACAAAAGAGCAAATACCAATATCTGCCACTTTGTCAGGCTAACAAACCCAAACAAAGCCAACAGCCAGAAGTTAAAAGAAACGGATCATTAGGTTGAAAACAGAACTGTCAAAACAGGCAAAATTGACTTTGTTTAGTGATTGCAAAGAACATCAGGCAAGACACAGGTGTGGTCATCATATAATTTATCACATGCTTAATTGCACATGTTTGACTAAGAAAAACACAAAGTATTTAAGCTCATCTGTAGTTCAAAGTGCCTATCCGTGTATTTGTCCATTCATCCTGATTTATTTATTGAGCAACTCTTTTGTACCAGGCACTGTGCTGGGTGGTGGTAATGCAATGATGAAAATGGCAGGCATGGCTCTGCCCTCCAGGAGTTTCTAGGATACAGAGGGAGACAAACAAAAAATAAGTAAATCCATGAAAGAAGTATTGGTGGAACCTGCCCCCCAATATTTCAATGTAGGTTCTTTCTGTTTTCCATAAGTGTCAGCCAGCTGAGAAATAAAGAGAGACACTACAAAGAGAGGAATTTTACAGCTGGGCCACTGGGGGTGACATTACATATCAGTAGGACCATGATGTCCCCTGAGTCTCAGACCAGCAAGTTCTTAATTAAGGGTTTCAAAAGGGGAGGCAGTGTAAGAACAGGGAGTAGGTACAAAGATCACATGCGTCAAAGGGCAAAAAGCAGAACTACTACTAAGGGTCTAAAAAAGATCACATGCTTCTGAGGGAACAGGACAAAGGGCAAAAGCAGAACTACTGATAAGGGTCCAGCAAAGATCACAAAGCAAAGGGCAAAAGCAGAACCACTGATAAGGGTCTACGTTCATTGGCGCATGTATTGTCTTGATAAACATCTTAAACAACAGAAAACAGAAAACAAGAGAACCAGTCTGACCACAGATTTACCAGGGCAGAGTTTTCCTCCACCCTAGTAAGGCTTTGGGTACTACAGGAGACCAGGGCGTATCTCAGTCCTTATCTCAACTGTGTAAGACAGACATTCCCAAAGCGGCCATTTATAGACCTCCCCCCAGGAGTGCATTCCTTTCCCAGGGTATTAATATTCCTTGCTAGGAAAAGAATTTAGTGATATCCCTCCTACCTGCACATCCTTTTATAGACTCTCTGCAAGAAGAAACATATGGCTCTTTTTGCCTGACCCTGCAGGCAGTCAGACCTTATGGTTGTCTTCCCTTTTTCCCTAAAAATCACTGTTATTCTCTTCTTTTTCAAGGTGCACTGATTTCATATTGTTGAAACACACATGTTTTAAAATCAATTTGTACAGTTAACACAGTTATCACAGTGGTCCTGAGGTGATGTACATCCTTAGCTTATTAATATAACAGGATTAAGAGAGTAAAGACAGGCATAAGAAATTATAAAAGTATTATTTGGGAACTGATAAATGTCCATAAAATCTTCACAATTTATGTTCCTCTGCCACAGCTCCAGCCAGTCCCTCCATTTGGGGTCCCTGACTTCCCACAACAAGAAATAATAAGAGGTTAAGGTGGAGAAGAGCAGGGAAGTCCACTTTATAAAGGGGTCAGGAAAGAGCTCTCTGTGGAAGCACCATTTTAGCTGAGACCTAAAGGATGGTCTAATTTGGGGAGGTGCAGAGGAAAATCATTCCAGGCTGAAGCAGCAAGTGCAAAGGCCCTGTTGTGGAAAAAGGTTTGAAAGTCCAACAAAACAAAAGGAGGCCAGAGTGGCTGAAATAGAGTAGGCCAAGGGGAGGAGATAGGAGAGGGCTGGAGAGGCGGCAGGGTCAGGCAGAAGACTCAGGGTCTTGATTTTATTCTATGTGCCATGGGCAGGAAAGGCAAGGGTGAGACTCAATGGACACCTTAAGATCACTGAAGCTGCCAGGTGGGAAATGGATTGCTGAGCATCAAGAGTAGGTGCAGAGGACCAGTTAAGACCAGTTAGGAGGCTGCTGCTGTAGCCCAGCTGGGATAGCAGTGCCCTAGGCAAAGATAACAACAGTGAAGTTAAAGAGAGTGGACAAGTTGGGTAAAGTTTAGAATCACAGGACTTGCTGACTGGAGAAGAGGGCAAAAGCAGAGTTAGCACAACACATGAGTTATGACCACCTTGAGCAGCTCAGCAGGGGGTGGTGCCATTTACAGAACAGAGATGGCATGGACAGAGCCCATGGAGAAGGAGGAGGAAAAAGAGAGTTTGGCTTTGGGTTTTTTTTTAAGACAGGGTCTCTGGCTCTGTCACCCAGGCTGGAGTGCATTGGTGCGATCATAGCTCTTTGCAGCCTCAAACTCCTGGGCTCAAGTGATCCTCCTGCCTCAGCCTCCCAAGTAGCAGGATTACAGATCCTACAGATGCACTTCACCATGCCTAGCTAATTTTTTTTTTTTTTTTTTTTTTTGGTAGATAGGGAGTCTCACTGTGTTTTCCAGGCTGGCTTCAAACTCCTGGCCTCAAGTAATCCTCCTGCCTCAGCCTCCCATAGCACTGGGGTTACAGCCATCACCTACCACTCCAAGCCATGAGTTTGGCTTTGGATGTAACAAGATGGAGGTGTTCATGAGTTCACAAGTGGAAAAAACAAGAAAGAAGTTGAGTGTTTAAGACTGCTGTTTGAAGGAGAAGTCTAGCCTCAAGACAAAAGTTCAGGACTCATAAGCTGAGAAATGGCACTGAAAATTATGCAAAGGGATGAGCTCAGCTAGCAAACAAGTCCAGAGAGAGCAGAAAGTCCAGAGAGAGCAGCACTGGGCCATGCACCTGGCCTAATGCCACCCCACTCCTCCCAATCCCTGTGTTATGCTGGAGAGGGTTCAGCCTCTGGTGAGTTTCACCAAACCCCCACATCTTATTCTTCTGAGACCGTCTTTAAAATCCCCTCTTTTATACTTAGTGAAATGGGATTCTCTTTTTCCCATCCAGCTTAAGCAAAAACTTTTGACTATGAAAGGAATGAGGATGCATTTAATATCTGCTCTGCATGGCTAATTCCATCAAAGATTTCTCATTATTCATGCCTGGCAGTCTCATTTTCTTCTTTCGCCTCTCAGAGCATAGTCATAGCCTTAATTAGTGACCTTTTCACCCTTCTAACACCAGTGATTTTCCCCCATCTCAGTTCTCAGGAAGTTCTGTTCACAGAATTATCTCCTGAATCCTCACCTGGGGATAGAAATTGTTCTCTGTGGCCGTGTCTCCCCCTCTAATTCTCATCAAAAAACAGTGATCTCTGTGCATCAAATATGAAACTCAAGCTTAACAGATCATGCTTCTGGCTTCTCTCTCTCTCTGGCCTGTGGGTTAACAGGTTTGCAGCCTTTGCAGAGAAGACACCAAATTCTCAAGAGGCCAGAGTTTCCAAGAGTGCTGGTCACTCTTGCTCTCTTTCTCCTGCTCAAAATTCAGCACTAGAGAGTGTTACACCATTGCACCTGCAGAGGAGTTCATCTGACTCTAGGGACTACAGAGGAGAGAGACAGACAAACTAACAGACATTCAGAAAAGGGCTACCACAATGGGGAAGAAAATGAAAGTCAAACCAAATAAGCAATGGTCAAAAAAAAAAATCTAGAGGGCAGCTGCAGTGGCTCACATCTGTAATCCCAGCACTTTGGGAGGCCGAGGCAGGTGGATCACTTGAGATCAGGAGTTCAAGACCAGCCTGGGCAACATAGTGAAATCACATCTCTACTAAAAATACAAAAATTAGCCAGGTGTGGTGGTGGGAGCCTGTAATGTCAGCATTTTGTGAGGCTGAGGTGGGTGGATCACCTGATGTCAGGAGTTTGAGACCAGCCTGGCCAACATGGTAAAACCCTATTTCTATTAAAAAATACAAAAATTAGCCAGGTGTGGTGGCAGGTGCCTGTAATCCCAGGTACTTGGG
Organism: Homo sapiens; assembly: GCF_000001405.40. NCBI lineage: Eukaryota > Metazoa > Chordata > Mammalia > Primates > Hominidae > Homo > Homo sapiens. The sequence continues at coordinate 171,262 of NT_187537.1, forward strand.
AGGCTGAGGCAGGAGAATTGCTTGAACCCAGGAGGCAGAGGTTGCAGTGAGCAAAGATTGCACCACTGCACTCCAGCCTGGGCAACATTGAGACATTGTCTGGAAAAAAAAAAAACAAAAAACCTAGAAATGTCCATCCAGGCTGAAGAGAATATTCCAGAGCAGGGGTTGGGATACTATGGCCCATGGCCAAATCTGACCTGCATGCACATGTTTTTGTAAATAAAGTTTTATTGAAACACAGTTATGCCCATTTGCTACATATTGTCTATGGCTGCTGGATTAGGCTGTTCTCTCATGCTATAAAGAAATACCTGAGATTGGGTAATGTATAAAGAAAAGAGGTTTAATTGGCTCACAGTTTTGTAGACTGTACAGGGAAGCATAACACTGACATCAGCTGAGCTTCTGTGGAGGCCTCAGGAAACTTACAATCATGGCAGAAGGTGAAGTGGGAGCAAGAGAGTGAGGAGGGAGGTGCTACACACTCGTAAACAACCAGATCTTGCAAGAACTCACTTACTATTGCAAGGACAGGACCAAAGGGATGATGGTAAATCATTCATGAGAAATCCACCCCCATGATCCAATCTCTTCCCACCAGGCCCCACCTCTAAAACTGGGTATTACATTGCAACATGAGATTTGGGCGGGGACACATATTCAACCTATATCAGCTGCTTTCATGCTATGGGTGGCAGAGTTGAGTAACTACTACAAGAGACTGTATGGCCCAAGAATTGTAAAATATTTACTATCTGATGCTTTCAAGAAAGTTTGCAAAGCCTGCTCTTGAAAAGGAATGGAAGGAAGAGGAGAGGAGGAAGGCAGGAAGGAGCAGAGAGGGACACGGGGCTGTATTCAAACATCTGTTGTTAAGAAAGAGAAATTCAATTTATTTGGCATGGCCCAAGTTATCAAACTAGGAGCACTCCATTGAAGTTTCAGAACAAACACTGTGCTGAATATAAGGATGACCCCATCTGTAATGCCTAACCTTGTTTTTACTAACTTTGTTGGTAGACTTTCCTTTTCTTTTAATCACTTAGCCTTGTTTCTACCTGAATTGACTTTCTTTTAGCTAAGAGAGCTAGATAGACTTTGTCTTGGCTTTTTCACTGGCAGCCCCTTCCTCAAGGACTTAACTTGTGCAAGCTGACTCTTAGCACCTCTAAGAATGCAATTAAGTGATAAGATACTGTGGGACGAGCAATATCCGCAGTTACTAGGAATTTGTCTGATTGATAACACCCAAAGCCCCGCGTCTATCACTTTGTAATAGTCTTAAAGCCCTTAGACCTAGAATTGTTTACTTTCCTGTAACAATTTATCCTTTTAACTTCTTTGCCTACTTCTGTAAAATTGTTTTAACTAGACCCCTTTCCCCTTTCTAAACTAAAGTATAAATGAAAATCTAGCCCCTTCTTCAGGGCCGAGAGAACTTTAAGCATTAGCTGTATCTTGGCCACCGGCTAAATAGACTCATAATTCGTCTCAAAGTGTGGCATTTTCTCTAACTCGCTCAAGTACAACATTTGGAGGCCCCAGTGAGAAACGCCACCAGGCGAGAGCCAGGCTTGCTCCGGCCCCCCCCGGAAGAACGGCCGGATTGTAGTGGGGGCGCCACTTGAAAAAAAATTTTCAGGTCCCTGAAAGGTGACCGTCTTCCAGAGGAAAGCGGATCGACTACCGTGTGGGTGCCCACAAAAATTCCACCTCTGAGTCCTCAACTTCTGACCCTGAGGTCAGGTAGGTCAGATTTGACTTCAGTTCTAGTAAGAGGGAAGCGGCCCTTATGAGGGCATCCCTCTTTTGACTCTGCCCATTTCTCTAGGACGCTAGAAGGCAGAGCCCTGGTTTTCTGTTAGGCACCTCTGTGTCTCTGTCTAGGAGGGAAGTGGCCCTGATAGGGGCCCTCCCTTGACTCAGTCCACATCCCAGGATGCTGGAGGACTGAGTCCTGGTTTCTGGCAGACCGGTCACTCTCTCTCTCGCTCTCTTTTTCTATCTCTCATCTTTCTCTTGTTCCAGTTTCTTGAAGAATCTCCAAGAAAGAAAAAAAAACTGTTTTAAACTCTGTGTGAATAATGAATGAATGAGGGAGGACAAGGGCTTGCGCTTGTCCTCCAGTTTGTAGCTCCACGGCGAAAGCTACGGAGTTCAAGTGGGCCCTCACCTGCGATTCCGTGGCGACCTCTTAAGGCTTAAGGACAGCATCAGGCATAGCTCGATCTGAGCCGGAAGTTTATACCGGGCTGCCAATGCTAAGAGGAGCCCAAGTCCCCTCAGGGGGAGCGGCCAGGCAGGCATCTGACTGATCCCATCACAGGACCCCCTCCCCTTGTCTGTCTAAAAAAAAAAAAAAAAGGAAGAAACTTTCATAACTGTTTACATGCCCTAAAGTCAATTGTTTATGTTGATTGTTCTGTTCAGTGTCTACTGTCTTGTTAGTAGTTGTCAAAGTTTTGCATGTCAAGACGTTGATATTGCCCAAGACATCTAAGTAAAAACTTCTTCAAAGTCCTTAGTGCTGATTTTTTTGTCACAGGAGGTTAAATTTCTCATCAATCGTTTAGGCTGGCCACCACAGTCCTGTCTTTTCTGCCAGAAGCAAGTCAAGTGTTGTTACAAGAACAAGAGTGAAAAACATTTGCCTGATTAAGATTTCTAGCACCATGAAAGTTGTAAGTATTTAGATTGTCACACCCTACATCCAAGTGATTAGACCTCCTCTAATCTAAACCAGTAGTAAGTTCAAAACAGCCACCCTGCAGATTTCCTTGCTCACCTCTTTTGTCATTCTGTAACTTTTCCTGTGCCCTGAAATAGAACGCACACCCGTACTACTTTACTTCATCGAGATTCTTACTCTGTTCCTCTGTGGCTACTCTCCCATCTTAAAAATGATCTGAGTAGTCCTTTACGCGTCGTTCCTGCCCCCTACCCTGCACATCTCATTTTCCGGTGTGACAGCAAGTTCAGCATCTCCATGACTTTGCTCTGCTCTCACTCCTTAAACCCTTAAAAGAAAAAGCTAAGCCTAAGCTATTTGCCTTTAAGTCATAAAGACACCAGAAGTATTTAAAGTACAGATCTAGAAGAAGAAGAACGCCTAGATCAAACTGACCCAGAAGATCTCAGGCTGGCTCTAGTCCTCCTCCCTCAATCTTAAAGCTACAGTAATGTAGCAAGTAGTATGAGCTGTTGTAGTTTTTCTGCTCTTTCTAGTCATGTTGATTCTGTTCTTTCAATACTCCAGTCCCCCAAGAAATAAGTTTCTCTGTCCATGTTAGGTTTAATATTTATGCTCAAATCTTATTAAATTGCCTTCAAAAAAAAAAAAAGAAACACTTCCTCCCAGACTTGTAAAAGTTAAAGCCCTCTCCAATGTGTGCTGCAGAATTTTCCTCTCAGTTTCTCAGAGGATTATAAAGTCCGCCTTGAAACAGGCAAGCTCCAGACACTCTGCAAAATAAAATGGCCAAAGTTTAAAGTCCAGTGGCCCCCTGAAGGGTCATTGAACCTCACAATTGTTCAAGCTGTGTGGCCGGTTGTTACTAAAACTCCTAGCCACCCTGATCAGTTTCCCTACATTGATCAATAGCTAAGTTTAGTCAGGAGCCCCCTCCATGGCTCCGCTCATGCGCCATTCATAATTCTACCTCCAAGGTCCTCCTAAGCCATACCGCCTTTTCATCTCGACCCTCAGCCGGTTTGGCTTCTCCTGTACTGCCTCCCTCTGAAGAAGGGGGGAGTCTCCCTCACCCAGTCCCACCGCCTTACAACCAGCCTGCTCCCTTAAAGTTATCCCATGTCTCCTCGACGACGTCCCCTGTAGACTCGCCACCCATTGCCTCTCAATCGCGACCGTGACAGGAAGAAGTAGCCCCTCTACTACCACTGAGAGAGGCACAAGTCCCTCCAGGTGACGAGCGCTCAGCCCCCTTCTTAGTTTATGTCCCTTTTTCTACTTCTGACTTATATAATTAGAAAACCCATAATCCTCCCTTCTCTGAAAAGCCCCAGGCTTTGACCTCTCTGATAGAGTCCGTACTCCGGACTCACCCGCCCACCTAAGATGATTGCCAACAGCTCCTTTTAACCCTTTTCACCTCTGAAAAGAAAGAACGTATCCAAAAAGAAGCCAAAAAGTACTTCCTCACATCAGCCAATGGACCGGAAGGAGAAGCTAGAGACCTCCTTGAGGAGGTCTTTCCCTCTACCCGGCCTAACTGGGACCCAAATTCCTCAAGTAGAAAGAGAGCTTTAGACGATTTTCACCGGTATCTCCTCGCAAGTATTAAAAGAGCCACTCAGAAACCCATAAACTTGTCTAAGACCACCGAAGTTGTCCAAAGGCCCGATAAGTCACCAAGAACGTTTTAGAGCGCCTCCAGGAGGCTTATCGGATTTACACCCCTTTTGACCCGGCAGCTCCCAAAAATAGCCGTGCTCTTAATTTAGCATTTGTGGCTCAGGCAGCCCCGGATATTAAAAAAGAAACTCCAAAAACTAGAAAGATTTGCTAGAATAAATATCAGTCAGCTTTTAGAAATAGCCCAAAAAGCTTTTGACCATCAAAAGGTTAAAAAACAAAAACAAGCAACACAGGCAGCTGAAAAGGCCGCTGATAAAGCATTCAAAAGACAAACAAAAATCTTAGTGGCGGCTATCCAAGAAGTACAGAATGAAATATCCCGTTAATTTAGCATTAACTGAAGCCCCTGCTTTAGCCCTCCCTAATATCTCCATAAAAACCAAGGAGTTGCTAAAGAGGTGCTTACTCAGGCTTTAAGACCCTAAAGACGCCCAGTGGCCTATTTATCTAAGAGGCTAGATCCTGTGGCCTCTAGATGGCCAAGTTGTCTGCGAGCCGTAGAGGCTACAGCAAGCCTAGTCCAAGAAGATGATAAGTTAACTCTAAGCCAAAATTTAACCCTTACAGCTCCTCATGCTGTAAAGACCTTACTACGAAGTGCTTCTGGCAAATAGATGTCAAATGCTCGCATCTTGCAGTGTCAGTTAGATCAGCCTCGTTTGACTTTCTCTCCCACAAAGTGTTTCAATCCAGCCACACTACTTCCTGACCCAGACTGCACTATTCCTGCTCATGACTGTCAAGAACTGTTAGAAACTATCCAAACTGGCCCATCTGATCTTCAAGATGTGCCCCTAGAAAAGGCAGATGCCGCCGTGTTCACAGACAGTAGCAGCTTCCTCAAGCAGGAAGTATGAAAAGCCAGTGCAGCTGTTACCATGGAGACAGATGTGTTGTAAGCTCACGCTTTACCAGCGAACACCTCAGCACAAAAGGCTGAATTGATCACCCTCACTCAGGCTCTCCGATAAAGTAGAATAAACGTATTAACATTTACAGTGACAGCAAGTATGCCTTTGCTACTGTGCATGTACGTAAAGCCATCTACCAGGAAGGCAGGCTACTCACCTCAGCAGGTAGCTGTGATCCACTGCAAAGGACATCAAAAAGAAAATACGGCCGTTGCCCATAGTAACCAGAAAGCTGATTCAGCAGCTCAGGTCGCAGCGCAACTTCAGTCATGCCTCTAAACTTGCTGCCCATAGTCTCCTTTCCACAGCCAGATCTGCCTGACAATCCCGTATACTCAACAACAACAAAAAAAAACTGGCTTCAGATCTCAGAGCCAATAAAAATCAGGAAAGTTAGTAGATTCTTCCTGACTCTAGAATCTTCATATCCTGAACTCTTAAAGAAACTTTAATCAGTCACCTACAGTCTACCACCCACTTAAAAAGAGCAAAGCTACCTCAGCTCCTCAGGAGCCATTTTAAGATCCCCCATCTTCAAAGCCTAACAGATTAAGCAGCTCTCCAGTGCACAACCTGCGCCCAAGTAAATGCCAAACAAAGTCCTAAACCCAGCCTAGGCCACTGTCTCTGAAAAAACTCGCCAAGAAAAAAGTAAGAAATTGACTTTACAGAAGTAAAACCACACCGGGCTAAGTACAAATACCTTCTAGTACTAGTAGACACCTTCTCCAGATAGACTAAGGCATTTGCTACTGAAAACGAAACTACCAACACAGTAGTTAAGTTTTTACGCAATGAAATCAACCCCCAATATACGCTGCCTGCTGCTATAAAGTCTGATAATAGAGCAGCCTTTACCTCGCCTATAGCTCAGTCAGTCAGTAAGGCGTTAAACATTCAATAGAAGCTCCATTGTGCCTATCAACCCCAGAGCTCCAGGCAAGTAGAACGCATGAACCACACCCTAAAAAACACTCTTACAAAATTAATCTTAAAAACCAGTGTAAATTAAGTAAGTCTCCTTCCTTTAGCCCTACTTAAAGTAAGGTGCACCCCTTACTAGGCTAAGTTCTCACCCTTTGAAATCATGTATAAGAAGGCGCTGCCTATCTTGCCTAAGCTAAGAGATACCAAATTAGCAGAATTATCACAAACTAATTTATTACAGTACCTGTAGTCTCTCCAACAGGTACAAGAGATCATCCTGCCACTTGCTCGAGGAGCCCATCCCAATCCAATTCCTGACCAGACAAATTCCTGCCATTCATTCCAGCCAGGAGACCTAGTGTTTGTTAAAAAGTTCCAAGAAGAAAGACTCACTCCTGCTTAGAAAAGACCTCACACCGTCATCCTCACGACTCCAACTGCTCTGAAAGTAGACAGCCTTCCTGCTTAGATTCATCACTCCCGCATCAAAAAGGCCAACAGAGCCCAGCTAAAAACATAAGTCCCCAGGCCTAAGTCAGGCCCCTTAAAACTGCACCTAAGTCAGGTGAAGCCATTAGATTCATTCTTTTTATCTACCTCACTTATTTGTTTTTGCCAGTTACATCCTCCGTGCCTTCCTACTCCTTTCTCCTCACCTCTTTCACAACAGGACGTGTATTTGCAAACACCACTTGGAAGGCCAGTACCTCCAAGGAAGTCTCCTTTGCAGTTGATTTATTTGTACTGTTCCCAAAGCCAGCCCATACCCATGAAAAGCAACACAATCTGTCAGTCCCAGGAGCAGGAAGTGTCGACCTTGCAGCAAGATTCAGACACTCCAAGAGCCAAACTAAATGTAGGAGCTCCAAAAGTGCAGAAAAAAGACTCCAAAATATTGACTTTTACCTCTGTCCTAGAAATCACCCTGACACTAGCTGTCAAGATGCTTATCAGTTTTTCTGCCCTGATTAGACATGTGTAACTTTAGCCACCTACTCTAAAAGATCAACCAGATCTTCAACTGTTTCCATAAGTCGTGCTTCTCATCCTAAATTATGTACTAGAAAAAATTGTAATCCTCTTACTGTAACTGTCCATGACCTTAATTCATCTCAATAGTATCATGGCATGGCATGTCATGAAGATTAAGATTTTATATCCCAGGATTTAATGTTAAGTCTATGTTCACCATCCAAAAAAACCCTAGTCTCATAAAGCCCACCCAAGCCAATCAGATCTTTAACTGATCTAAGTAACCCTATGTTCCAGAAACACCCTGACAAAGTTGATTTGACTGTTCCTCCACCTTTCTTAGTCATAAAAGATACACGCCAAAAAGTGCAAGAAAATCTAGACAAGCGCCAACAAGAACAAGAAAATAACATCCCCTAGTATCAAAGCATGTTCAACTAGAACCCATAGCTAACCACTCTAATTACTAAGTTAGCCAGACCCCCTCCCCGTCCTACTAATAAGTCTAATATTTGGGCCTTGTATATTAAATTAGTTTCTTAATTTTGTAAAACAACGCATAGCTTCTGTCAAACTTATGTATCTTAAGACTCAATATAACCCCCTTTTTATAACTGAAGAATCAACGATTTGATTCCCCAAAAACACAAATGAGGAATGTAATGCCCAACCTTGTTTTTACTAACTCTGTTTTTAGACTCTCCCTTTCTTTTAATGACCTAGCCTTGTTTCCACCTGAATTGACTCTCCCTTAGCTAAGAGAGCCAGACAGACTCCATCTTGGCTCTTTCACTGGCAGCCCCTTCCTCAAGGACTTAACTTGTGCAAGCTGACTCCCAGCACATCGAAGAATGCAATTAACTGATAAGATACTGTGGTGAGCAATATCCACAGTTCCCAGGAATTCATCTGGTTGATAACGCCCAAAGCCCCGAGTCTATCACCTTATAATAGTCTTAAAGGCCCTAGACCTAGAACTGTTTACTTTCCTGTAACAATTTATCCTTTTAACTTTTTTGCCTACTTTACTTATGTAAAATTGTTTTAACTAGACCCCCCTCCCCTTTCTAAACCAAAGTATAAAAGAAAATCTTAGCCCCTTCTTCGAAGCCGAGAGAACTTTAAACGTTAGCCGTTTCTTAGCCGCCGGCTAAATAAACAGACTCTTAATTCATCTCAAAGTGTAGCGTGTTCTCTAGCTCGCTCAAGAACAACACATCTAGCAGGCACGTAATCCACTCTAAAATGCTGTCCTGGGGTAGTAAAGATGATGTTGCTGGAAATACCCTTAAATGGCATGTGGATGAGTTCCCCCAGAGGCATACATGTTGAGCTACTTTGCTGATGAAGGGTACAAGTTGAAGGGGTTTTGTAAGGCAGAGTGAGGTTCCTCAGAAGGCTGTTGCTACAGAAAGCCAGGAGGAGAAATTACATGGCCAGATAGAGTGGCATGACCATTGGATAAGGGTTTTTTGTTTGTTTGTTTGTTTTTGAGATGGAGTTTTGCTCTTGTTGCCCAGGCTGGAGTGCAATGGCACGATCTCAGCTCACCGCAACCTACACCTCCCAGGTTCAAGGGATTCTCCTACCTCAGCCTCCCTAGTAGCTGGGATTACAGGCATGTGCCACCACATCTGGCTAATTTTGTATTTTCAGTAGAGACGGGGTTTCTCCATGTTGATCAGGCTGGTCTTGAACTCCCAACCTCAGGTGATCCGCCTGCCTTGGCCTCCCAAAGTGCTGGGATTACAGGCATGAGCCACCGCACCCAGCCTGGATGAGGGTCTTCAGCAAAGATGGAAGTTTTGGTACCTTGCAGTTTAATCTCTTCATTTATGTCCTCCTGAAATCTTCAGTAATAGCACACTTTGTCAATGCTTCTGGGGTCGTACTTAGGGGGACTTAAAGGAGATGTGATGTGGCAGCCTTTGACTCAAGGGAGTATCATACTAGCTCAAAGAGATCTGGGTACATGCCAGTTGAACCAACTCTTCTGAGGATGTGATAGATCCTGGGAGGCCACTGTGATCCCGCCAACCTTGAGGCCAGATGAGTCTTTGAAAAACATGGTTTGGCTTAACACCAGCACTTAGTCTAACACCCACCATGAATCTTGCTGAAGTGAAGCTATACAAATACCTTTTCAAAAGATTTTTTTTCATTTCAGATCCTTCGTAGAAATTCCTAAGGCTCAATGCTGTGTGGAAGTTTCTAAGAAAGAAAATAGTTTCCCATCTTTGGGATTCCCCTGAGATGGTCCAATCTGCAAAAAGTTCATTGCCATTTCCATCAAGGACACTGAGAACAACAGTCTTATCCGGATTGGATCCTGGGAATTGAGAAGCTTCAACAAGTGGGAAATGCACCCTCCACAGGTTCACACCCTTGTGGGCTATTTCAGTTACCTATTGCACCCTAAAATTAGAAACTTTAAACCACCACAAGTCATTATTGCTCATGACCCTGTGAGTTGCATGGGGACTTCCTGTCTAGTTTAATCTGGGCTCATTTGTGTGGCTACCTGCAGCTGGAGGGCCAGGTGGGCGGAACATCCAGGACAGCCTCACGTGTGTGCCTGGCAGTTGGTGCTGCCTGTCAGCCGGGGAACCTTGTTTTCCTCCATGTGGCCCCTAGCCCTCCAGAGCCCCTCTCCAAATGGCCCTTTAAGCAGGATAGCCAAGGCTTGATTGGTGCCAGCATCCAAGAGGGCAAAAATATGGAAACTACGAGAGGGTTCTCAAGGCCTAAGACTATATGCACCCCAAAAATCTGAGGTCTCAGTTAATTCAGAAAGTTTATTTTGCCAAGGTTGAGGATGCACGCCTGTGATACAGCCTCAGGAGGTCCTGACAACATGTGCCTAAGGTGGTAGGGACACAGCTTGGTTTCATACATTTTAGAGAGACATGAGACATGAATCAATATGTGCAAGATATACATTGGTCCAGTCTGGAAAGGCGGGACAACTCCAGGTGAAGGTGAAGGTGAGACAACTCGAAGCGGAGAGGGGGCTTCCAGGTCATAGGTAGTTAAGAGACAAATGGTTGCATTCTTTTGAGTTCCTGATTAGCCTCTCCAAATGAGGCAATCAGATATACATTTATCTCAGTGAGCAAAGGGGTGACTGAATAGAATGGGAGGCAGGTTTGCCCTAAGCAGTTCCCAGCTTGACTTTTCTCTTTAGCTAGTAACTTTTTTTTTTTTTTTTTTGGGACAGTGTCTCACTCTGTTGCCCAGGCTGGAGTGCAGTGGTGCGATCTCAGCTCACTGCAACCTCCAACTCCAGGGTTCAAGCAATTTTCCCTGCCTCAGCCTCCCGAGTAGCTGGGATTACAGGCGCCTGCCACCACACCTGGCTTATTTTCATATTTTTTAGTAGAGATGGGGGTTTCATCATGTTGGCCAGGCTGGTCTTGAACTCCTGACCTCAGGTGATCTGCCCGCCTCAGCTTCCCAAAGTGCTGGGATTACAGGCGTGAGCCACTGAGCCCGGCCTAGCTTACTGATCTTGGGGGCCCAAGGTTTATTTTCCTTTCACGGCTAGAAATTGGTCACCATCACTTTGGCAGCATTCCACTGGCCAAAGCAAGTCATAAACAGCCCAGATTCATGTAGAGGAATATAAACTCTACCTCTTAAAGGAAAGATTGGTTCAATTACACTGCACAAGCGTTTGCAGAAAGTTGTACCCATCTTCGGAAACTACCACACACACACACACACACACACACACACACACACCTTTACATGTAACCCTCCCTTGAGGTGCATCTACTTCCAGGCAGAACCTAAACTTGACAGTACTCCACAGAAGGAAAGTAGTGTACTAAATGCCAGTTCTATTCTTACTCAACTTCAGCCTCATTATAAGCAGATTCTAACACAGTTTCTGTGTCTTGAGAAACATTGTAATTAATCTTTGGAATTTAAGAATTTGAATTCATAGCAGTAGCCTGTGCATAGGAAATATGCATATGGTAAGTTTTTCCTTTCTAATAAATCATGCTGAAGGAACAACAAGGTAACATTTTTTTTTTTTTTTTCTGAGAGGGAGTCCCACTCTGTTGCCCAGGCTGGAGTGCAGTGACGTGACCTCAGCTCACTGCAACCTCCACCTCCCGGGTTCAAGCGATTCTCCTTCCTCAGCCTCCTGAGTAGCTGGGATTATAGGTGCACAAGGCAGGGTTTCACCATGTTCGTCAGGTTTGTCTCGAACTCCTGACCTCTGATTTGCCCACCTCGGCCTCCCAAAGTGCTGGGATTATAGGCGTGAGCCACCGGCTCACGTACACTGTAACTGTATATTGAAAGTTTCTTTTTTTAACAATTAACAGGTTTAACAGAATATATCCCCTAATCTATTCCTTTCACTGCAGACATCTATTGCCTTTTCAGCCTAGCAGCCCTCCCCTCTATGGAGACTCACACTTCCTACTCCAGTCACGGGGCTCTCATGGGGGCTGCCATGTTCTCATATGACTCCACCCCTCTGGCCTCAGTTGATTGGTCCAGGGATGAACATCTGGCCTAAATTGGCCAATCAGAATTCTTCCCTTGAATATTTTTCCAAACTGGAACCAGAACAAGTTAATCATTCTCTGTGATGACAGGAACTGTGTGTAGTGAGAAATACAGGAGCTTTTGTGGCCACATATCTCACCTTATGGAGAAAAGGCTTGAGTAAGAAGAAATTAAGCCAGTATGCAGACAAAGCTAGAGACAGAGATAGAGAGACAGCTCTGAGGTGTCTCCACCCAGAGATTGAAAGAGAGATCTTGTGGTAGGCCCCTTGGTATTTATCAATCTAGTCCATGCTTGCTACTGCATACAACCAAGACTTTCACTTGAGAGTTTTTTCAAAGTCAGGCAGGGAATATGTCAGAAAAGCCACAGAAGCTGGGTGCAGTGACTCATGCCCGTAATCCCAACACTGGGAGGCCAAGGCGGGTGGATCATGAGGTCAGGAGTTCGAGACCAGCCTGACCAACGTGGCAAAACCCCGTCTCTACAAAAAATAAAAAAATTAGCAGGGCATGGTGGCAGGCGCCTGTAATCCCAGCTACTCAGGAAGCTGAGGCAAGAGAATCGTTTGAACCTGGGAAGCAGATGTTGCAGTAAGCCGAGATCATGCCATTGCAGTCCAGCCTGGGTGACAGAGCACGACTATGTCCCCCACCAAAAAAAGAGAAAAGAAAAGCCAGAGAGTTGATGCCCTGGGACCAGTCCTCAGCCAGTGACGGATGGGAGCCAGGCTATAAATGCTTCAATATTTCCCCCCCTGGATGGAACAACTTTGAAATGTATTCCACATCACTTCCCAGAGGTCCCCAGTGGGGTCAAATCCTAGTTGCCTGGAGTGGTAAGCTGCTCACTGAAGCCTCCTGTGTGGCCTCCTGCCTTGTCATGAATCAGTTCCTCACTCCCCTATTGGTGTTCCCTGGAATCATCTCCTAAATAATCCACTTGCAATCCTGTCCCTCTTTCAGGATCTGCTTGGGGTTGGGGTTGGGGAGTGCAGACCAAAACATGATCCCTTTTCCACTCCACACTAGTAAGATGAGTTTCTGTCACTGGCAACCAAGAGTCTGACTATTACCTCCTTCTGAGATAATTTCTAAAATGTATTTGGGAATTTCCCCACCTCCATCCCACTGCGTATGTCATCAATCTGTAGATTTCTTAACAAAGTTTAATGGTATTCTTTGATCAGCCTCAAGTTTCACAAAGCACACTGCACTTTCATAAGGGATCCCCATGACTGACAGATCAGCCATTCAAAAGAAGGGAAGTGTCAGAGATGGCTCTGCTAGACTCATGTATTTTTCAGTAGAACCTGGGTCAGGATGGTATGGTTGGGAGATGCTTCTGGAGCTCTGGGAACCACAAGCCTGCATGTCCCATGGTGGAGTATTAGCACAACTTGAAAACATAGTGGCAGGAGAAGGCTTCCTCCCCTCCCCTGCAGTTCATCCTCCACCATACCCAACGTGCTCAATAGATATTGGTTAAATGAATAATGGGTCCGGGCGTGGTGGCTCACACCTGTAATCCCAGCACTTTGGGAGGCTGAGGCAGGTGGATCACCTGAGGTCAGGAGTTCAAGACCAGCCTGGCCAACATGGCGAAATCCCGTCTCTATTAAAAATATAAAAATTAGCCAGGTGTGGTGGTGGGCGCCTGTAATCCCAGCTACTTGGGAGGCTGAGGCAGGAGAAGCACTTGAACCTGGGAGGCAGAGTTTACAGTACGCTGACATGGCACCACTGCACTCCAGCCTGGGCGACAGAGCGAGACTCAAAAAAAAAAGAAAGAAAAAAGAACAATGGATTTATTCCTTCCAAACTGCAACTCACCAGAAGAAGACCAAGACGCATCACAATGTTGTGGCCATAATCACCACAGTGACGATAATGAATATAATCAACTCTCGAGCCAGCCGCCTCCACTAAATCTAGCAGATCACATCTGGTGTTTCACTTTGGGGATGTTTTAATGGTCATGGTAGATGGTTGCCTGACTGCTGGCTGTTTCTACTGTGTTTCAGGAATATAGAGATGATGTACAAATCACCCCTAAAATTAATTAGTATGCAATTCTCAAAGAGCCAAACTCTACCCCAAAAGCTACTGGAATGAAAAAAAAAAAAAGAGTTTTAATTCTCAAAGAGACAAACTAGATAGTAAAAGCATTTATGTTCCCTTGGAGAATCTTCCCAACCATGGACTCAAAGTGGTCTCCAGACCAGGGAATGCCTTGGGCCTTGGACATTCCCAATTCTGGTATCACCTTCCATTCTCCTTTAGGTCCAGTTTTCTCAGAGGAGCATGCATTGTTCATTGCCACCAAGGGTATCCAAGGGCACAAACTGAAGATAATAGTGCTTTATTGTCTCTCAGTCATCTGTCTCTCCCACATGCTGGAAGGAGAGCCAAGTCCAATTTATCCAATTACAAAGTAGCAACATTGGCATCATGAGATCAGCTAACAAAACTTTCAGAGGCAATCTATCTTCCTACCAAAAGTAACTAACATCTGTGGAGCACTTACCATGGCTAAGGGTCAACGTAAGTGGTTTGCATGCTGCATGTGTCAGGATGGACTAGGTTATGCTACAGTAACAAATTAACCCCAGAGTCTCAGCAGCTTAGCAACCAAGGTTGATTTCTTACATTCCATGTCCACAATGGGTTGGCTGGGTATGGTGTGCTCCATATGGCCACTCAAAGACCTAGAATAATGGAAATTCTACCATCTTAATGCAGGGATTCTCCCATAGTTACTGCACCAGGAGATGAGAGGATGAGATAGTTATTCCCAAGCCCTCAAAAGCCGTAGACTAGAGGTGATGTCAGTGACTTCCACTTATAGAGCATTGGACCCTGGCATGGATCCATCTAACTACTGGGGGTCTGGGGAATATGGGGAGCACATGGAAATCCCATGAGCAGTAACCATTCCTGCCAGCATGCATTATTTCATCTGAACCTCACAACCCCATGGAATATAGAACAGAGTCTTGGAGAGTTATGGGACCTGCCCCAAGGCATCAGAGATAATGAGATGCAGAGCTGAGATATGACCCTTAGCCTGGCAGGATTCAAACCACTATGCTGCATACTCATTACAAAATTCTATGAAATTCCTCATACAGCAAAACACCACACCAAGTGAAAAGAAAGCCAAGTTGTGCAAATACACAATAGAACTCCCCTGACACTTCACCTCCTCACCCACCCCACCCCCCACTGAAAGAATCAACCCACACAAATAACTGGAACGAAATTCTCAGGCAATTTCAGCAGGGGAAATGGGGTTATCTCATCTGGGTCTCACATCCGACCTCGTCAAAACAAGACCATCCCTAAACTTCGCCTGAACACCTGGACACACCGTCATGTCTTGCCGCTTCTTGTTACTGGAAATCCAAGGATGACATCTTTATACAACTTACAGGTCTTTCTATAAGTGCCAAGATAAATGTCATCCCTGTACCTGCATATCATTCAGAGGTAGGCAAGCTTCTATGTAAAGTGCTAGATAGTAACTATTATCAGCTTTGCAGGACACATCTGATCTCCATCCTATATACTTTTTTTTGTTTTACAACTTTTTTTTCTTTTTAGATAGTGTCTAAAAAGAAAATAAAACTTATCCATGCTGTGATATGGATGAACGTTAAAAACATGCTCAGTGAAAGAAGCAGACATGAAAAGTCATATATTGTACAATTCCATTTATATGCAATGTTCAGACTAAGCCAATCGACAGAGATAGAAAGTAGATGAGAGGTTTCCAGGGGCTGCAGGAGGGGGTATGCAGAGTGACTGCTGAATGGATATGAGGCTTCCAATTGAGGTGTTGAAAAAGCCCTGAAACTAGGTAGTGGTGATAATTGCACATGATTAATGTACAAAATGTCACTGAATTGTACACTTTCCGATGCACAAAATGGTAAATGTTGCATATATTATACCACAATTTTATTCATTTATTTTAGAGATAGAGTCTCACTCCATCACCCAGGCTGTAGTGCAATGGCACAAACATAGCTCACTGCTGCCTTTACCGCCTGGGCTCAAGCAATCCTCCCACCTAGTCTTCCAAGTAGCTGGGACTACAGGTGAACGCTGCCACACCCAGGGTTTTTAATTTTTTTATAGAGTTGCATTCTCACTATATTACCCAGACTGGCCCAAACTCCTTGCTTCAAGCGATTCTCTCATCTTAGCCTCCCAAAGTGCTGGGATAACAGATGTAAGCCATCACACCAGGCAATTTTTAATTCTTATGTGAAATTTTCAACTAATAAATTCCTAGGATTAAGAAAATGTTGATCAACATGGGGATTAGAGGAAAAAATAATTTTAAACAAGAGAAAAAATTAAATGAGGTGATGTATATGTGTACAGTGCCTGGCTCATGATCACTGAGTCCACTGCAGCTTTTTTTTTTTTTTTTTTTTTGAGACAGGGTCTCACTCTGTCACCCAGGCTGAGTACAGTGGCATAATCACAGCTTACTGCAGCCTCAACCTCCTGGGCACAAGTGATCCTCCCACTTCAGCCTCTCAAGTAGCTGGGACTACAGGTGCACGCAACCACACCCAGCTATTTTTGTTGTTGTTGTTGTATTTTTGGTAGTGACAGGGTCTCGCCATGTTGCCCAGGCTGACATCTTGAACTCCTGGGCTCAAGCGATCCTCCCACCTCAGCTTCCCAAAGTGCTGGGATTACAGGTGTGAGCCACCATGCCCATCCTGTTGTAGCTATTTTAATAGTGCTGGTGAACAGTAATTTGCTCTCCCTATAAAAACAGGACATACTAAGCCAAGGAAAGCACCAATCTAGTTTGTTCTCCCCAGATCTTCAAAATGTTGGAATTAGTATAAGGGCCCAAAATATTTCACATGGTTTGATTTTTTTTGTTTTTGGAGACGGAGTCTCATTCCATCGTCCAGGTTGGAGTGCAGTGGCACAATCCCGGCTCACTGCAACCTCTACCTCCCGGGTTCAAGCCATTCTCCTGCCTCAGCCTCCCAAGTAGCTGGAATTACAGACATGTACCGCCACGCCCTGCTAATATTTGCATTTTTAGTAGAAATGGGGTTTCTCCATGTTGGCCAGGCTGGGCTCGAACTCCTGACCTCAAATGATCTACCCGCCTCGGCCTCCCAAAGTGCTGGGATTACAGGTGTAAGCCACCACGCCAGGCCAGTTTAATTTTTTTATTGTGGTAAAATACATACAAAATCTATTATTTTAGCCATTTTCAAAGGAAAAATTCAGTGGTGTTAAGTGCATCCACCACATTGTACAGCCATGTCCCCCATCCATCTCCAGAACGCTTTCATCCTGTCCTGCAAATATGCGGCACCTTGCTACACTCCGGGTTGTTTGTCCCACAACAGAGCTGGGCTGAATTATTAATGTGGACGTTGTTCAACAACGGATTAAAGAGGGAGAAGCCCACGATCTCTGTGAGGAGTGCATGACAGGTGCTCATGGGATGACAGGGTTCGGGGCCCTCCAGCTGCTGCCGCCTGTCCTACTGAGTAGCCACCCCGTCCCAGGGAGGAAGAGCACTCACAGCTGCTGCTGATCTCCTTCCAGGGCTTCCGCTGGGACTAGGATCAGGATGTGGACACCCCCAATCTGGACCGTCTAGCCGGGGAGGGCGTCAAGGCCAGGTACCTCATGCCACCCTTTGTCACGATGACCTCCCGGTCCCGCTTCACCGCCATCCCGGGTAAGCGCCACTCTGCCCATTTCACCCGGTGCCCATCAAAGCCCCAGCGTCCGTCATTCCTGGAATAAGAAGCAGAGCTCGGTCAGCTCTAGGGAGGCTGAGGCGGCTCCAGGGTCTCACTCTGTTTCCCAGGCTGTAGCTCAATGGCATAGTCACAGCTCAGTGGAGCCTCAATCTCCTGGTGTCAAGCAGTCCTGCCTACCTCAGGCTCCCCAGTAGCTGGGGATACAGACCAACCACCGTGCCTAATTTTCTCATTTTTTTAGAGATTGGGGCAGGGGATGTCTCACTATGTTGCCTAGGCTGGTTTTGAACTCCTGGCCTCAAGTGATCATCCCGCCTCAGCCTCCCAAAGTGCTGAGATTAGAGACATGAGCTACCGTGCCTGGCCTGATCTTTTTTAAAAAAGTAAATAAGGTCGGGCATGGTGGCTCACCCCTGTAATCCCAGCACTTTGGGAGGCTGAGGTGGGTGGATCACCTGAGTTCAGGAGTTCAAGACCAGCCTGGCCAACATGGTGAAACGTCGTCTCTCCTAAAAATACAAAAATAAGCTGAGCTTGGTGGCAGACGCCTATAACCCCAGCTACTCGGGAGTCTGATACAGGAGAATCACTTGAACCCAGGAGGTGGAAGTTGAAGTGAGCTGAGATCATGCCATTGTACTCCAGTTTGGGCAACAGCACAAGATTTTGTCTCAAAAAAAGAAAAAATAAAAGTAATAAAAATAAAAAGGTAAATAATTAAAATCACTTTTAAAGAATTGTATAAAAATAATAAAATATTAACATTTACAGAGCTCAGTTAGATGACGTGACTCATACCCTCCAATGGTGTCCTGGTTTTCTTAAATGAGAATTCAAATGTCTTTCTGTGGCCCAAAAGATCCCACACAGCCTGGCCCCTGGCCCATCTTCTGCCAGCCTCTCTCATCTCTCTCCCTCTCCTTCACTTCCCTCCAGATCACAAAGGCCTTTTGCCTGTGCCTTCTGCCCTGCTCCCTCCAGCCCCAGGGACTTGGCCTGTGCTAGTCCAGTCCCTCCAGCTCACTAGGAGCATGCAGTCCAGTCGGGGAGACAGACAACAGACACCCTAACAGGCACATACATCCCAGGACAACTCGGGAGGCACCAAGGAGGAAAACGAGTTTTCCAGGCACAGACTACAGGGGTAAACTGGCTTAAAACTAGAGAGGGAGAAAGGGGCTCTCTGAGCATGGGGCAGTTGAGCTGAAAGATATCTCAGGGGACCAGAGCAAGGAAAAGTGTTCCAGGCAGAGGGAACAGCATGTGTGAGGTCTTTGAGACAAAGACCTGGTCATTTCAGAATCCCAGTGGCCACTAAAATAGAGGGATTCTGACCTAAAAAGGATGGAGAGGAGGCTGCTGGAAGGCAAAGGACTCTGTGTAAGAATCATAATAGTGGGGGTGGAGCCAAGATGGCCGAATAGGAAGAGCTCCAGTCTACAGCTCCCAGCATGAGTGACACAGAAGACAGGAGATTTCTGCATTTCCAAATGAGGTACTTGGTTCATCTCAGTGGGGAGTGTCAGAAAGTGGGTGCAGGACAGTGGGTGCAGTGCACTGAGCATGAGCCCAAGCAAGGTGAGGCATTGCCTCACCCGGGAAGTGCAAGGGGTCAGAGAATTCCCTTCCCTAGTCAAAGAAAGGGGTGACAGATGGCACCTGGAAAATCGGGTCACTCTCACCCTAATACTGTGCTTTTCCAACAGTCTTAGCAAATGGCACACCAGGAGATTATATCCCGCACCTGGCTCAGAGGGTCCTACATTCACGGAGCCTCACTTATTGCTAGCACAGCAGTCTGAGATCAAACTGCAAGGAGGCAGCAAGGCTGGGAGAGGGGCGACCGCCATTGCCTGGGCTTCAGTAGGTAAACAAAGTGGCTGGGAAGCTCGAACTGGGTGGAGCCCACTGCAGCTTAAGGAGGCCTGCCTGCCTCTGTAGACTCCACCTCTGGGGGCAGGGCATTGCCAAACAAAAGGCGGCAGAATCCTCTGCAGACTTAAATGTCCCTGTCTGACAGCTTTGAAGAGAGTAGTGGTTCTCCCAGCATGCAGCTGGAGATCTGAGAATGGGAAGACTGCCTCCTCAAGTGGGTCCCTGACCCCCAAGTAGCCTAATTGGGAGGCACCCCCCAGTAGGGGCAGACTGACACCTCACATGGCTGGGTACTCTCTGAGACAAAACTTCCAGAGGAACAATCAGACGGCAACATTTGCAGCTCACCAATATCCACTGTTCTGCAGCCTCTGCTGCTGATACCCAGGCTAACAGGGTCTGGAGTGGACCTCCAGCAAACTCCAACAGACCTGCAGCTGAGGGTCCTGACTGTTAGAAGGAAAACTAACAAAGAGAAGGGATATCCACACAAAAAACCCCATCTGTACATCACCATCATCAAAGACCAAAGGTAGATAAAACCGCAAAGATGGGGAAAAAACAGAGCAGAAAAAATGGGAAACTCTAAAAATCAGAGAGCCTCTCCTCCTCCAAAGGAATGCAGCTCCTCACCAGCAATGGAACAAAGCTGGACAGAGAATGACTTTGATGAGTTGAGAGAAGAAGGCTTCAGACGATCAAACTACTCCGAACTAAAGGAGGAAGTTCAAACCCATGGCAAAGAAGTTAAAATCCTTGAAAAAAGGTTAGATGAATGGCTAACTATATGGATGAATGGCTAACTAGAATAACCAATGCAGAGAAGTCCTTAAAGGACCTGATGGAGCTGAAAACCGAGGCAAGAGAACTACATGACAAATGCACAAGCCTCAGTAACTGATTTGATCAACTGTAAGTAAGGATATCAGTGATGGAAGATGAAATGAATGAAATGAAGTGAGAAGTTTAGAGAAAAAAGAATATAAAGAAATGAACAAAGCCTCCAAGAAATATGGGACTATGTGAAAAGACAAAATCTACGTCTGATTGGTGTACCTGAAAGTGATGGGGGAGAATGGAACCAAGTTGGAAAACACTCTGCAGGATATTATGCAGGAGAACTTCCCCAATCTAGCAAGGCAGGCCAACATTCAAATTCGGGAAATACAGAGAATGCCACAAAGATACTCCTTGAGAAGAGCAACTCCAAGACACATAATTGTCAGATTCACCAAAGTTAAAATGAAGGAAAAAATGTTAAGGGCAGCCAGAGAGAAAGGTCGGGTTACCTACAAAGGGAAGTCCATCAGACTAACAACTGATCTCTCAGCAGAAGCTCTACAAGCCAGAAGAGAGTGGGGGCCAATTTTCAACATTCTTAAAGAGAAGAATTTTCAACCCAGAATCTCATATCCAGCCAAACTAAGCTTCATAAGTGAAGGAGAAATAAAATACTTTACAGACAAGCAAATGCTGAGAGATTTTGTCACCACCAGGCCTGCCCTACAAGAGCTCCTGAAGGAAGCACTAAACATGGAAAGGAAAAACCGTTACAGCCACTGCAAAAACATGCCAAATTGTAAAGACCATCGAGGCTAGGAAGAAACTGCATCAACTAACGAGAGAAATAACCAGCTAACCTCATAATGACAGGATCAAATTCACACATAACAATATTAACCTTAAGTGTCAATGGGCTGAATTCTCTGATTAAAAGACACAGACTGGCAAATTGGATAAAGAGTCAAGACCCATCACTGTCCTGTATTCAGGAAACCCATCTCATGTGCAGAGACACACATAGGCTCAAAATAAAGGGATGGAGGAAGATCTACCAAGCAAATGGAAAACAAAAAAAGGCAGGGGTTGCAATCCTAGTCTCTGATAAAACAGACTTTAAACCAGCAAAGATCAAAAGAGACAAAGAAGGCCATTACATAATGGTAAAGGGATCAATTCAACAAGAAGTGCTAACTATCCTAAATATATCTGCACCCAATACAGGAGCACCCAGATTCATAAAGCAAGTCCTTAGAGACCTACAAAGAGACTTAGACTCCCACATGATAATAATGGGAGATTTTAACACCCCACTGTCAACATTAGACAGATTAACGAGACAGAAAGTTAACAAGGATATCCAGGGATTGAACTCAGCTCTTCACCAAGAGGACCTAATAGACATCTACAGAACTCTCCACCCCAAACCAACAGAATATATATTCTTCTCAGCACCACACCACACTTATTCCAAAATTGACCACATATTTGGAAGTGAAGCACTCCTCAGCAAATGTAAAACAACAGAAATTATAACAAACTCTCAGACCACAGTGCAATCAAACTAGAACTCAGGATTAAGAAATTCACTCAAAACCACTCAACTACATGGAAACTGAACAAACTGCTCCTGAATGACTACTGGGTAAATAACGAAATGAAGGCAGAAATAAAGATGTTCTTTGAAACCAATGAGAACAAAGACACAACATACCAGAATCTCTGGGACACATTCAAAGCAGTGTGTAGAGGGAAATTTATAGCACTAAATGACCACAAGAGAAACAGGAGAGATCTAAAGTTGACACCCTAACATCACAATTAAAAGAACTAGAGAAGCAAGAGCAAACACATTCAAAAGCTAGCAGAAGGCAAGAAACAATTAAGATCAGAGCAGAACTGAAGGAAATAGAGACACAAAAAACCCTTCAAAAAATCCATGAATCCAGGAGCTGGTTTTTTGAAAAGATCAACAAAATTGATAGACCGCTAGCAAGACTAATAAAGAAGAAAAGAGAGAAGAATCAAATAGACACAATAAAAAATGATAAAGGTGATATCACCACCAATCCCACAGAAATACAAACTACCATCAGAGAATACTATAAGCACGTCTATGCAAATGAACTAGAAAATCTAGAAGGAATGGATAAATTCCTCAACACATACACCTTTCCAAGACTAAACCAGGAAGAAGTTGAATCTCTGAATAGATCAATAACAGGCTCTAAAATTAAGGCAATAATTAATAGCTTACCAACCAAAAAGAGTCCAGGACCAGATGGATTCACAGCCGAATTCTACCAGAGGTATAAGGAGGAGCTGGTACCATTCCTTCTGAAACTATTCCAAACAATAGAAAAAGAGAGAATCCTCCCTAACTTGTTTTATGAGGCCAGCATCATCCTGATACCAAAGCCTGGCAGAGACAAAACAAAAAAAGAGAATTTTAGATCAATATCCCTGATGAACATCGATGCAAAAATCCTCAATAAAATACTGGCAAACCGAATCCAGCAGCACATCAAAAAGCTTATTGACCATGATCACGTGGGCTTCATCCCTGGGATGCAAGGCTGGTTCAACATACACAAATCAATAAACATAATCCAGCATATAAACAGAACCAATGACAAAAACCATATGATTATCTCATTAGATGCAGAAAAGGCCTGTGACAAAATTCAACAATGCTTCATGCTAAAAACTCAATAAATTAGGTATTGATGGGACATATCTCAAAATAATAAGAGCTATCTATGACAAACCCACAGCCAATATCATACTGAATGGGCAAAAACTCGAAGCATTCCCTTTGAAAACTGGCACCAGACAGGGATGCCCTCTCTCAGTGCTCCTATTCAACATAGTGTTGGAAGTTCTGGTCAGGGCAATTAGGCAGGAGAAGGAAACAAAGGGCATTCAATTAGGAAAAGAGGAAGTCAAATTGTCCCCGTTTGCAGATGACATGATTGTATATCTAGAAAACCCCATCATCTCAGCCCAAAATCTCCTTAAGCTGATAGGCAACTTCAGCAAAGTCTCAGGATACAAAATCAATGTGCAAAAATCACAAGCATTCTAATACACCAATAACAGACAGAGAGCCAAATCCTGAGTGAACTCCCATTCACAATTGCTTCAAAGAGAATAAAATACCTAGGAATCCAACTTACAAGGGAAGTGAAGGACCTCTTCAAGGAGAACTATAAACCACTGCTCAACGAAATAAGAGGATACAAACAAATGGAAGAACATTCCATGCTCATGGGTAGGAAGAATCAATATTGTAAAAATGGCCATACTGCCGAAGGTAATTTATAGATTCAATGCCATCCCCATCAAGCTACCAATGACTTTCTTCACAGAATTGGAAAAAACTACTTTAAAGTTCATATGGAACCAAAAAAAGAGCCCACATTGCCAAGTCAATCCTAAGCCAAAAGAACAAAGCTGGAGGCATCATGCTACCTGACTTCAAACTATTCTACAAGGCTACAGTAACCAAAACAGCATGGTACTGGTACCAAAACAGAGATATAGACCAATGGAACAGAATAGAGCCCTCAAAAATAATGCCACATATCTACAACTATCTGATCTTTGACAAACTTGAGAAAAACAAGAAATGGGGAAAGGATTCCCTATTTAATAAATGGTGCTGGGAAAACTGGCTAGCCATATGTAGAAAGCTGAAACTGGATCCCTTCCTTACACCTTATACAAAAATTAATTCAAGATGGATTAAAGACTTAAATGTTAGACCTAAAACCATAAAAGCCTTAGAAGAAAACCTAGGCAATACCATTCAGAACATAGGCATGGGCAAGGACTTCATGTCTAAAACACCAAAAGCAATGGCAACAAATGCCAAAATTGACAAATAGGATCTAATTAAACTCAAGAGCTTCTGCACAGCAAAAGAAACTACCATCAGAGTGAATAGGCAACCTACAGAATGGGAGAAAATTTTTGCAATCTATTCATCTGACAAAGGGCTGATATCCAGAATCTACAATGAACTCCAACAAATTTACAAGACAAAAACAAACAACCCCATCAACAAGTGGGCAAAGGAAATGAGCAAACACCTCTGAAAAGAAGACATTTATGCAGCCAAAAGACACATGAAAAAATGCTCATCACCACTGGCCAGAGAAATGCAAATCAAAACCACAATGAGATACCATCTCACACCAGTTAGAATGGCGATCATTAAAGAGGCAGGAAACAACAGGTGCTGGAGAGGATGTGGAGAAATAGGAACACTTTTACACTGTTGGTGGGACTGTAAACTAGTTCAACCATTGTGGAAGTCAGTGTGGCGATTCCTCAGGGATTTAGAACTAGAAATACCATTTGACCCAGCCATCCCATTACTGGGTATATACCCAAAGGATTACAAATCATGCTGCTATAAAGACACATGCACATGTATGTTTATTGTGCCACTATTCACAATAGCAAAGACTTGGAAACAAGCCAAATGTCCAACAATAGACTGGATTAATAAAATGTGGCATATACACACCATGGAATACTATGCAGCCATAAAAAATGATGAGTTCCTTTCCTTTGTAGGGACATGGATGAAGCTGGAAACCATCATTCTCAGCAAACTATCGCAAGGACAAAAAACCAAACACTGCATGTTCTCACTCATAGCTGGGAATTAAACAATGAGAACACATGGACACAGGAAGGGGAACATCACACACGGGGGCCTGTTTTGGGGTGGGGGGAGGGGGGAGGGATAGCATTCGGAGATATACCTAATGTTAAATGACGAGTTAATGGGTGCAGCACACCAACATGGCACATGTATACATATGTAACAAATCTGCACGTTGTGCACATGCACCCTAAAACTTAAAGCATGATAAAAAATAAAAAATAAAATAAAAACATTGGCTGTTGACTCCAAATATCCTGCTTCATCATCTCTCCACTCCAGAAACTTTTCACATGCTTACAAAGGGTGTTCATTTCTCCTCTAAGTATTTGCACTCCAGCCCCACCTGCAAGAAGGTGGAAGTAGGGCCTCTGCCTGGGATGGTAACTCTCAAATACAAGGCAAGACCTTTCTCTCCTCCAATATCCCCAGGACTGAAGGACTGTGCAAGTCTGCATATTGATCAAGCTTCTTCCTCCTCCCTTATCTGAAGGGACTTACTTCCTTCAAGACACTTTTCCTCTTCCCACCTAGCTCCGTGCCCGTATCCAGTCATCTTCCAACCCATCTCTCCCCACCTCCATGCCACACAAGAGGGGCTTGACCACAGCACCTGGAAGTTCCTTAAAATTGAATGGTGTGTCGGGCCGGGTGCGGTGGCTCATGTCAGTAACCCCAGCACTTTGGGAGGCTGAGGCAGGCAGGTCACTTGTGGTCAGGAGATCGAGACCAGCCTGGCCAACATGGTGAAAATCCATCTCTACTAAAAATACAAAAGTTAGCTGGGTGTGGTGGTGCATGCCTGTAGTCTCAGCTACTTGGGGGGCTGAGTCAAGGGAATCACTTGAACCCAGGAGGCAGAGGTTACAGTGAGCCGAGATTGCACCACTGCACTCCAGCCTGGGTGACAGAGTGAGACTCTGCCTCAAAAAAAAAAAAAAAAAAAAAAAAAAAAAAAAAAATCGAATGGTGTGATTAGCTTATGATTTTTAAAAAATGGAATGATGTATTCATTTTCTAAGCTACATAACAAATCAACACAAATTTAGCAGCTTAAAACATCCATCTATTACCTCTCCTTTCCTGTGGGTCAGGAGTCTGGGGTTGCAGCTTCAGCTGGGTCCTCTGCTCAGGTACTTACAAGGTTGTGATCAAGGTGTCGGCTGCAATTAGTGTCTCATATGAGGCTTAGGGTCTTCTCCCAACCTCACATGGTTGTTGGCAGAATTTATTTCCATGCAACTGTGGAACTCATGTGGCTTCTTCAAAACCAGCCGGGTGTGGTGGCTCACGCCTGTAATCCCAGCACTTTCGGAGGCTGAGGCAGGTGGATCACCCGAGGTTAGGAGTTCGAGACCAGCCTGGCCAATATGGTGAAACCCCATCTTTACTAAAAATACAAAACTTAGCCTGGCATGATGGCGCATGTCTGTAATCCCAGCTACTTGGGAGGCTGAGGCAGGAGAATCACTTGAACCCAGGAGGCAGAAGTTGCAGTAAGCCGAGATCGTGCCACTGCACTCCAGCCTGGGCAACAGAGTGAGACTCCATCTCAAAAACAAGCAAACAAACAAAAGCCAAAAACCAGGAGGAAGGAGTCTCTCTCCTCCAGACCCTCATTGAAGATCTCACCTGAAGATGTCAGGCCCACCCTGAATAATCTCCCTTTTGATTAACTCAAAGCGAACAGATTAGGGGCTTAGTTACATCTGCAAAATCCCTTCAACTTTTCCATAGGTATAGATTAGAAGCAAGCCACGGGTCCTGCCTACACTCCAAGGGAGAGGAGATTACACCTGGCATTTATCCAGGGCAAGAAGCTAAGGGGTCATCTCAGAATTCTGCCTTCCAAATAGATCCTCGGTGGAGCTCAAATGCCTGGGCGAGCACCAGCCTTTGTTTAAAGGCAACAGAGAATGCTGCCCTGTCTCAGATCTTCAGCAAGCCTCCAGAATGATGGTCCAGTCTCTGAGCCCAGGGCCAAGGCAGCAGGAGCTTTGGGCGCACATGGGGACTGGCTTCCCCCACTTTGAAGTGAATCATCACATCCGTATTAGACCCTAGCTGTTGCTCAGGCAAAAATGATGATTTAGAAGAAGATGGAGAGAAGAGGAGAGTTAATTTAAAAGCACTTATATTTAGCCGGGCACAGTGGTTCACGTCTGTAATCCCAGCACTTTGGGAGGCTGAGGCAGGTGGATCACGAGGTCAGGAGATGGAGACTATCCTGGCTAACACGGTGAAACCCCGTCTCTGTTAAAAATACAAAAAATTAGCAGGGCTTGGTGGCAGGTGCCTGTAGTCCCAGCTACTCGGGAGGCTGAGGCAGGAGCATGGCGTGAACCTGGGAGGCAGATCTTGCAGTGAGCCGAGATCGCGCCACTGCACTCCAGCCTGGGCAACAGAGTGAAACTCCGTCTCAAAAAAAGAAAAAAAAAAAGAAAGTACTTATATTCATTCTCTAGGGCTGCCACAACCAAGTACCACAAGCTGGGTGACTTGAAACAAGAGAAATTGATTGTCTTGTGGCTCTGGTGGCCAGCAGTCTGAAATGGAGGTGCCAGCAGGGCCACACTCTCTCCTGCACTTGTCAGGGAGTCCTGCCTTGCCTCTTCCTAGCTTCCTGTGGTCTCCTGGCAGTTTTCAGTGTTCCTTGGTTTGCAGACGCATCAGTCCAATCTTCTGTCTGATCCATGGCCTTCTTCCCTGTGTCTCCATGACTCAGCGTGTCCTCTCCTCTTTTATAAGGACACCAGTCATTGACTTAGGGCCATCCCTACTCCAGGATGACTTCATCCTAATCAATAGCATCTGCAATAACCCTCTTTCTTTCTTCCTTTTTTTTTTTTTGAGACGGAGTTTCACTCTTGTTGCCCAGGCTGGAGTGCAATGGCATGATCTCAGCTCAATGCAACCTCCACCTCCTGGGTTCAAGTGATTCTCCTGCCTCAGCACCCTGAGTAGCTGGGATTAGAGGTATGCACCACCACACTCAGCTAATTTTGTATTTTTAGTAGAGACGGGGTTTCTCCATGTTGGTCAGGCTGGTCTCAAACTCCTGACCTCAGGTGATCCACCCACAGCGGCCTCCCAAAGTGCTGGGTTTACAGGTGTGAGCCACGATGCCCGGCCTGCAATAAGTATTTCTAAATAAGATCACATTCTCAGCTACAAGAATTTAGGATTTCAACATCTTTTGAGGAGGACTCAATTTAACCCATAAGAATACTATGTGGGCCACACATGGTGCTTCACATCTGTTATCCCAGTATTTCGGGAAGTTGAAGCAGGAGGATCATTGCTCAGGGCCTATGGGGACACCGGGTGCATAAGACCACAGTGTTGACTGGTGTGGGGACTCACACCTGTAAGTTTGGGAACCTAAGGCAGGGCAATCGCTTGAGCTCAGGAGTTTGAGGCCAGCCTGGGTGACATACTGAGATCTCATTTCTTAAAAAAAAAAAAAAAAAAAATTAATTAGCTGGGCATGGTGGTACCCGCCTACAGGCCCAGCTACTCAGGAGGCTGAAGCAGGAGGGTCGCTTGATTCCAGAAGATCAAGGCTGTGGTGAGCTGTGATTGCACCACTGCACTCCAGCCTGGGCAATAGAGCAAGCCCTGTCTCAAAAAAAAAAAAAAAAGTCATCTCCCTTGTCTTCTGATTCCCTGAGCTGTCATAGAAAGGAAGTGAAGCAGTGAAAGCATCCCCCCAAAAGAGACTTTTCAAAACCAGCCCAAGCAACATAGAAAGACCTTGCCTCTAGAAAGTATTTAAATTTGAAGGAAAAAAAATAAAAAGCAGTACTATGGCACAGAGTTGACAGCTACAGGTGTGGCTACATCCAGGTCCTCAAACTGTATCATCAGAATGACCCCTCACCCTCCCCTCGCTTTCCATTTTACTTTCTTAAGCATGAACATGAAATTTCCAAGATTGTCTCTCCTTTGGCTAATCTGCTTCTCAGACCCAATCGCTGTGGCCAGGGTGGTGGAAGGATATTGACATCCAGGCTGGGACCACATGCCCCAGCCCCAGATCAGGGTGGGGAGTGGCCAGTCGCACACATGCCGTGGGGTACTAGTGACTCCTCGGTGGAAAATCGGGAACTGTCATTGGAGAGGAGCGATGGAAGAAAGGCTGACACACTGCAATGTATCTCCTGCACCAGCCTGGGACTCGATGTCTTGAGAATGGCAGTTTGCAGTCTGATGACCCAGTACTCAGTCCAGGGCAATCCCAACTCCATCTGTGGGGCTGCCCACAGTACATGGACCCCCTCACTGGATGTGCTGACCACACGTGCAAACAGCCACCTCCCAGCCCCACTCCCTGCAGTCCCGCTGAACCCTGTCGAAATTCCCCTCAGTTCTCACCAAGAATAAAAGCAATTCTGAGGGTGAGCGGCTCATTCCGCTAGTTTAAATCTCTCGATTCCTTCCCTCTCCAGAACTCTGTACTTACTGCTCCATCACTGGTAATGACAATGAACATTTTCACAATCTCACTTTTTATTGCAAAGTGATTGAGGACCAGTTAGAATAAGTTATGCTACAGAAACTAAAGAAATCCCGTCAAGCAAATGGTGTGTAATAGAAAGTCTTAGGGCAGCCGTGTATATTTTCTCCCCCAATGAATCAATTGAAAATGAGAGGATCTTACCGCCATGTTCCGGGCAGAAGCTATCAAAAGTGTAAACCATGATATTATAATTTAATCATTTTACATCCGTCAAATGGATATGGCCCAGGGGTGAAAAGTGGATGCTCCGTAACTAGATGATGGTCAAGAGTTATAAAAATGAGGTCCTCTCTGTTCAACCTTTCTCCTTTCTTGAAAGGATACTCAATGTCATGCTCAGGGCCTCTAATGGCCAGAAATAAAGTTCCTCTCAGTTTCAGAGCACCCCAGGGCAACCCCAAAACCAGAGCAACTGCTTATAGCCATAAGCCACAGACTGTGTACTGTGCAATTCCTGGGGCGGCATTTTCATAAATATGTGGGTGGCGCCCCCTGGAGGTGTGCAATGTACAACTTGCATAAATGGTAAGTGATGGTATCCCAAAGTCCACCAAGAAGAGGTAAACAAAATTCCCATCGATGTTGCCATCAGTCATGAGTCTGTCTTTTTTTCATGGGACAGTAGCAAAAACAATTTGGCCAAATGTGCTTGGATGATCTCTAAGCTCTAAGATGGAATCAGGGTCTCTCACTTTCAGCACTATTGACATTTGGGGCTGGATCATTACTTTGTCTTAGTGGGAGTTGTCCGGGGCATTGTAGGATGTTTAGCAGCATCCGTGGCCTCTACCCATTAGATGCCAGTAGCACCACCTCCTCCAGCTGCAACAACCAAAACTCTCCAGACATGGGCACATGTTCTCTGGGGAGCAAAATCACACCCTGGTTGAGAAGCCAGACATAATACGCAGATCACATGTAAGTAAGAGAGCCTAAGGGCCACACAGGTGATGCTGTACCCATGACAAAGCCAGAGTCTTAAAGAGGTTAGAGAGGTGGAGAAAGAGAAAGGAAATAGAGTCCCAGCTGCCGAGAGCAACAGATGCTGACTAGATGTTGTTGATAGTCATCTTAAACTGAGTTAAAAAATGCTGAGAAGCCATCAGCTGCCATCCTGCTCTCCAGGGACAAAGCTGCTGAAAAAGGCCTGGAGATCAACAAAGCGCCAGACACAGGTGCACTGAGCAAAGAAACCAGAGATTGAGACAAAAAAGACATTCCCTCAAAGACTACTCATTTCCAAGGGGGAGAAAAAGTGGAGTCACAAAAAACAGTTGAGGCTGGGTAGAGTGACTCACACCTGTAATCCCAGCACTTTGGGATTACTCCCATGCTAAGACGGGAAGATTGCTTGAGCTCAGGAGTTCAAGACCGGCCTGGGCAACATAGCAAGACCTTGCCTCTAGAAAAAGGGAAAAAACTAGCCAGGTGTGATGATACATGCCTGTGGTCTCAGCTACTCAGGAGGCTGAGGTGGGAGGATTGCTTGAACACAGGAGGTAGAGGCTGCAGTGAACCGGGATCACAACACTGCACTCCAGCCTGGGCTACAGAGTGAGATCCTGTCTCAACAAAGAAAAAAATTAAATAAAATTAAGGCCAGGCACAATGGCTCATGCCTGTAATCTCAGCACTTTGGGAGGCCAAGGTGGGCAGATCACGGGGTCAGGAGATCAAGACCATCCTAACACAGTGAAACCCCATCTGTACTAAAAATACAAACAATTAGCCGGACATGGTGGTGGGTTCATATAGTCCCAGCTACTCTGGAGGCTGAGGCAGAAGAATGGAGTAAACTCAGGAGGTGGAGTTTGCAGTGAGCCAAGATCATGCCACTGCACTCCAGCCTGGGCAAAAGAGCAAGACTCCATCTCAAAACAAAAAATAAAAGAAAAAAGAAAATTAAAAAATTTTTTGAGACCAAGTCTCACTCTGTCGCCCAGGCTGGAGTGTAATGGTGCGATCTCGGCTCACTGCAACCTCCGCCTCCTGGGTTCAAGTGATTCTCATGCCTCGACCTTGTGCCTCAACATGACTACAGGCATGTTGTCACCATGCCTGGCTAATTTTTGCATTTTTAGTAGAGATGGGGTTTCGCCATGTTGTCCAGGATGGTCTTGAACTCCTAGGTTCAAGTGATCTACCCACCTCAGCCTCCCAAAATGCTGAGATTACAGGCATTAGCCACCGTGCCTGACCTCTAACTTTTCGTTATGGAAATTTCCCATAGGCACAAAAAGCAGGGAGAGAATTGCACCATGAACCCCCATTCACCCATCATCCCACTGCAAGAACTTGTCAACATCTCGCCAATCTCATTCCAGTTCCCGCTTTTCTTTTCCTTCTTGCTATTTTACAATATTTTAAAGCAAATTCCAGACATTTCATTTCACCCACATCCATAACACACCAGGGTGCATTCTTGATGTAAGGGTTTTGTTTTGTTTTGTTTTATAACCCCCATGCCATTGCCACAGTTAATAGATTTAACATGAAGAAACTAAGATTCTTGTAGGTGGAGAAAAGATCTAATTACCACCTTAAAGCCTCTCCTACCAGCACTTCTCAGATCTGAACGTGTATGCAGATCACCCAGGCATCTTGTTAAAATGCAGATTCTGGCCCAGCAGGTCCTCCCGGGTGAGCCCTGAGAGTCTTCAATTCCAAAAGCTCACAGGTGACGCAATGCTGCAGGTCCATGAATCACACAAGAGGAAGGGTTGGCCAAACACCCACAACAACTGGGTGCAAAGTCCTGACTGTTCCCGACTGCAGGGCCTTCAGTGAACGGGGAAGCTGGGGACCATTTGGGAAAGAAGGGAGGTTTTTCGTATCAGCTCCAGGCCCTGTAGAACTGCCAGGGAATAACAGAAACAAGGTCAACAAAGTCCAACCAACAGCATGAGTGCATTCATATTCCACAACCACTGCAGCAAAGAACCATGAAATGGGTGGCTTCAAACAATGTCTGGGCCTGGTGCTGTGGCTCACACCTAAATAATCTCAGCACTTTGGGAGGCTGAGGTGGGTGGATCACCTGAGGCCAGGAATTCAAGACCAGCCTGGCCAATATGGCAAAACCTCATCTCTACTAAAAATACAAAAATTAGCCATGCATGGTGGCAGGCACCTGTAGCCCAGCTACTTGGGAGGCTGAGGCAAGAGAATGGCTTGAGCCCAGGAAGTGGAGGATGCAGTGAATCAAGATCGTGCAACTGCACTCCAGACTGGGCAACAGAGCAAGGCTCTTTCTAAAAAAAAAAAGAAAAAAAAAATGTCTGGAGGCCAGAAGTCCAAAATCAATCAAATGTCAGCAGGACTATGCTCCTTCAGAGGTTCTAGGGGAGAATCCATTCCTTGCCTCTTCCAGCTTGTAGAGGCTACTAGATTTCCTCAACTTGTGGCTGCATGATCCAATCTCTGCCTCTGTGATCACCTTGCCTCCTCCTCTTCTCCTCTTCTGTATGGGTCTCCTCCTCTGGAGGAAGAGTGTCAGGCCTCTGAGCCCAAGCTAAGCCATCGTATCCCCTGTGACCTGCACGTACACATCCAGATGGCCAGTTCCTGCCTTAACTGATGACATTATCTTGTGAAATGCCTTCTCCTGGCTCATCCTGGCTCAGAAGCTCCCCTACTGAGCACCTTGTGACCCCCACTCCTGCCTGCCAGAGAACCCCCCTTTTTCCTTTACCTACCCAAATCCTATAAAATGGCCCCACCCCATCTCCCTTCGCTCACTCTTTTCAGACTCAGTCCACCTGCACCCAGGTGAAATAAACAGCTTTATTGTTCACACAAAGCCTGTTTGGTGGTCTCTTCACACGGACCCATGTGAAATTTGGTGTCATAACTCGGATCGGGGGACCTACCTTGGGACATCAATCCCCTGTCCTCCTGCTCTTTGCTCTGTGAGAAAGATCCACCTACAACCTCAAGTCCTCAGGCTGACCAGCCCAAGAACATCTCACCAATTTCCAATCCGGTAAGCAGCTTCTTTTTACTCTCTTCTCCAACCTCCCTCACTATCCCTCAACCTCTTTCTCCTTTCAATCTTGATGCCACACTTCAATCTCTCCCTTCTCTTAATTTCAATTCCTTTCATTTTCTGGTAGAGACAAAGGAGACACATTTTATCCGTGGACCCAAAACTCTGGCGCCTGTCACGGACTAGGGAAGGCAGCTTTTCCTTGGTGTTTAATCATTGCAGGGACACCTCTGTGATTATTCACCCAGGTTTCAGAGGTGTCAGACCACGCAGGGATGCCTGCCTTTGTCCTTCACCCTTAGTGGCAAGTCCCACTTTTCTGGGGGAAGGGGCAAGAACCCCTCAACCCCTTCTCCTTCACCCTTAGCAGCAAGTCCCACTTTTCTGGGGGAGGGGAAGGAACCCCCTCTTATCTCAGTGCCCCGATCCCTTATTTCTGTGCCCCAACCTCTTATCTCTGTGGCCCGATCCCTTATTTCCATGCCCCAACCTCTTATCTCTGTGACCCAATCCCTTATTTCCACGACCTGACCTCTTATCTCTGCACCCCAACCCCTTATTTCTGTGCCCTGACCTCTTAGCTCTGCATCACAACCCTTTATTTCTGCACACTGACCCCTTTCCCACTTTTCGGGAAGGCAAGAACCCCCCACCCCTTCTCTCTGTGTCTCTACTCTCTCTTTTCTCTAGGCTTGCCTCCTTCACTATGGGCAAGCTTCTGCCCTCCATTCCCCCTTCTTCTCCCCTAGCCTGTGTTAAAAACCTAAAATCTTTTCAACTCACACCTGACCTAAAACCTAAATGCCTTATTTTCTTCCACAATGCCACTTGACCCCAATACAAACTCAACAGTAGTTCCAAATAGCCAGAAAATGGCACTTTCAATTTTTCCAACCTACAAGATCTAGATAATTCTTGTCGTAAAATGGGCAAACGGTCTGAGGTGACTGATGCCCAGGCATTCTTTTACACATCGGTCCCTCCCTAGTCTGTTCCCAGTGCAACTCATCCCAAATCTTCCTTCTTTCCCTCCCACCTGTCCCCTCAGTCCCAACCCCAAGCGTCACTGAGTCTTTGTAATCTTCCTTTTCTACAGACCAATCTGACCTCTCCCCTCCTCACCAGGCCAAGCTAGGCCCCAATTCTTCCTCAGCCTCCGCTCCTCCACCCTATAATCCTTTTATCACCTCCCCTCCTCACACCGGGTCCAGCTTACAGTTTCGTTCCATGACTAGCCCTCCCCAACCTGCCCAGCAATTTCCTCTGAAAAAGGTGGCTGGAGCTAAAGGCATAGTCAAGGTTAATGCTCCTTTTTCTTTATCCCAAATCAGATAGGGTTTAGGCTCTTTTTCATCAAATATAAAAATCCAGCCCAGTTCATGGCTCATTTGGCAGCAACCCTGAGATGCTTTACAGCCCTAGACCCTAAAAGGTCAAAAGGCCGTCTTATTCTCAATATACATTGTATTACCCAATCTGCTCCCAATATTAAATAAAACTCTGAAAATTAAATTCCGGCCCTCAAACCCCACAACAGGACTTAATTAACCTCGCCTTCAAGGTGTACAATAATAGAGTAGAGGCAGCAAAGTAGCAACATATTTCTGAGTTGTAATTCCTTGCCTCCACTGTGAGACAAACCCCAGCCACATCTCCAGCACACAAGAACTTCCAAACGCCTAAAGTGCAGTGGCCAGGTGTTCCTCCAGAACCGCCTCCCCCAGGAGCTTGCTACTAGTGCCAGAAATCTGGCCAAAGAATGCCCACAACCCGGGATTCCTCCTAAGCCATGTCCCATCTGTGTGGGACCCCACTAGAAATTGGACTGTTCAACTCACCTGACAGCCACTCCCAGAGCCCCTGGAACTCTGGCCCAAGGCTCTCTGACTGACTCCTTCCCAGATCTTCTTGGCTTAGCAGCTGAAGACTGACACTGCCTGATCGATCACTTCGGAAGCCTACAGGACCATCACAGATGCTCTAGGTAACTCTCACAGTGGAGGGTAAGTCCGTCCCCTTCTTAATCAATATGGAGGCTACCCACTCCACATTACCTTCTTTTCAAGGGCCTGTTTCCCTTGCCTCCATAACTGTTGTGGTTATTGACAGCCAGGCTTCTAAACCTCTTAAAACTCCCCAACTCTGGTGCCAACTTAGACAATACTCTTTTAAGCACTCCTTTTTAGTTATCCCCACCTGCCCAGTTCCCTTATTAGGCTGAGACACTTTAACTAAATTATCTGCTTCCCTGACTATTCCTGGACTATAGCTACATCTCATTGCCACCCACCTTAACCCACAAGTAGAAGATACCTCTACTCCCTCCTTGGCGACCGATCATGCACCCCTTACCATCTCATTAAAACCTAATCACCCTTACCCCGCTCAATGCCAATATCCCATCCCACAGCATGCTTTGAAAGGATTAAAGCCTGTTATCACTTGCCTGCTACAGCATAGCCTTTTAAAGCCTATAAACTCTCCTTACAATTCCCCCATTTTACCTGTCCTAAAACCATCCACCCCATGGTGCCAAATGCATATACTCTCCTATCCTCAATTCCTCCCTCCACAACCCATTATTCTGTTCTGGATCTCAAACATGCTTTCTTTACTATTCCTTTGCACCCTTCATCCCAGCCTCTCTTTGCTTTCACTTGGACTGACCCTGACACCCATCAGGCTCAGCAAATTACCTGGGCTGTACTGCCGCAGAGCTTCACAGACAGCCCCTATTACTTCAGTCAAGGCCAAATTTCTTCCTTATCTATTACCTATCTCAGCATAATTCTCATAAAAACACACATGCTCTCCCTGCCGATCGTGTCCAACTAATCTCTCAAACCCCAACCCCAGCTACAAAACAACAACTCCTTTCCTTCCTGGGCATGGTTGGATACTTTTGCCTTTAGATACCTGGTATTGCCACCCTAACAAAACCATTATATAAACTCAAAAAAGGAAACCTAGCTTACTCCATAGATCCTAAATCCTTTCCCCACTCCTCTTTCAGTTCCTTGAAGACAGCTTTAAAGACTGCCCCTACCCTAGCTCTCCCTGACTCATCCCAACCCTTTTCATTACACACAGCCAAAGTGCAGCGCTGTGCAGTCGAAATTCTTACACAAGGACCAGGATTGCTTCCTGTAGCCTTTTTGTCCAAACAACTTGACCTTACTGTTTTAGGCTGGCCATTATGTCTCTGTGCAGTGGCTGCTGCTGCCCTAATACTTTTAGAGGTCGTTAAAATCACAAACTATGCTCAACTCACTCTCTACAGCTCTCATAATTTCCAAAATCTATTTTCTTCCTCACACCTGACGCATATACTTTCTGCTCCCTGGCTCCTTCAGCTGTACTCACTCTTTGTTGAGTCTCCCACAATTACCATTGTTCCTGGCCCGGACTTCAATCCAGCCTCTCACATTATTCCTGATACCACACCTGACCCTCATGACTGTATCTCTCTGATCCACCTGACATTCACCCCATTTCCCCACATTTCCTTCTTTCCTGCTTCTCACCCTGATCACACTTAGTTTATTGATGGCAGTTCCACCAGGCCTAATTGCCACACACCAGCAAAGGCAGGCTATCCTATAGTACAAGCCACTAGCCCGCCTCTTAGAACCTCTCATTTCCTTTCCAGCGTGGAAATCTATCCTCAAAGAAATAACTTCTCAGTGTTCCATCTGCTATTCTTTTACTCCTCAGGGATTATTCAGGCCCCCTCCCTTCCCTACACATCAAGCTCAGGGA
The DNA here is from genome assembly GCF_000001405.40 of Homo sapiens. Taxonomy (NCBI): domain Eukaryota; kingdom Metazoa; phylum Chordata; class Mammalia; order Primates; family Hominidae; genus Homo; species Homo sapiens. The sequence continues at coordinate 208,310 of NT_187537.1, forward strand.
TTTGCCCCCACTCAGGACTGGCAAATTAGCTTTACTCAACGTGCCCTGAGTCAGGAAACTAAAATACCTCTTGGTCTAGGTAGACACTTTCACTGGATAGGTAGAGGCCTTTCCCACAGGGCCTAAGAAAGCCACCACGGTCATTTCTTCCCTTCTGTCAGACATAATTCCTCAGTTTGGCCTTCCCACCTCTATACAATCCAATAGTAGACCGGCCTTTATTAGTCAAATCAGCCAAGCAGTTTTTCAGGCTCTTAGTATTCAGTGAAACCTTTATATCCCTTACAGTCCTCAGTCTTCAGGAAAGGTAGAACAGACTAATGGTCTTTTAAAAACACACCTCACCAATCTCAGCCACCAACTTAAAAAGGACTGGACAATACTTTTACCACTTTCCCTTCTCAGAATTCAAGCCTGTCCTTGGAATGCTACAAGGTACAGCCCATTTAAGCTCCTGTATAGATGCTCCTTTTTATTAGGCCCCAGTCTCATTCCAGACACCACACCAACTTGGAATGTGCCCCAAAAAACTTGTCATCCCTACTATCTTCTCTCTAGTCATACTCCTATTCACCGTTCTCAACTACTCATACATGCCCTGCTCTTGTTTACACTGCCAGTTTACACTGTTTCTCCAAGCCATCGCAGCTGATAGCTCCTGGTGCTATGCCCAAACCGCCACTCTTAACTCTTAAATAATCTTTGCTGGCAAGGCTATGCTGAACCTCCTTAGGCACTCTCTAATTAGATGTCCTAGGTCCTCCCAATTCTTAGTCCTTTAATACCTGCTTTTCTCCTTCTCTTATTCTGTTTAGTTTTTAATTCATACAAAACTGTATCCAAGCCATCATCAATAATTCTAAATGACAAATGTTTCTTCTAACAACCCCACAATATCACCCCTTACCACAAAATATTCCTTCAGCTTCATCTCTCCCACTCTAGGTTCCAACGCTGCCTCTAATCCCGCTCAAAGCAGCCCTGAGAAACATCGCCCATTACTTCTCCATACCATCCCCAAAAATTTTCGCCGTCCCAACACTTTACCACTATTTCGTTTTATTTTTCCTGTTAATATAAGAAGACAGGAACGTCAGGCCTCTGAGCCCAAGCTAAGCCATCATATCCCCTGTGACCTGCACGTACACATCCAGATGGCCGGTTCCTGCCTTAACTGATGACATTCCACCACAAAATAAATGAAAATGGCCTGTTCCTGCCTTAACTGATGACATTATCTTGTGAAATTCCTTCTCCTGGCTCATCCTGGCTCAAAAGCTCCCCTACTGAGCACCTTGTGACCCCCACCACTCCTGCCTGCCAGAGAACAACCCCTTTTTCCTTTACCTACCCAAATCCTATAAAACAGCCCCACCCCTATCTCCCTTCACTGACTCTCTTTTTGGACTCAGCCTGCCTGCACCCTGGTGAAATAAACAGCTTTATTGCTCACACAAAGCCTGTTTGGTGGTCTCTTCACACGGATGCACGTGAAAAACAGTGTCCTTCATTTTTCTTTTTTTTTTTTGAGATGGAGTTTCACTCTTGTTGCCCAGGCTGGAGTGCAATGGCATGACCTCACCTCACTGCCACCTCCTCCTCCTGGGTTCAAGCAACTCTTCTGCCTCAGCCTCCCCAGTAGCTGGGATTGCAGGCACGCGCCACCATGCCCGGCTAATTTTGTATTTTTAGTAGAGATGGGGTTTCTCCATGTTGGTCAGGCTGGTCTCGAAGTCCTGACCTCAGGTGATCCACTCACCTCAGCCTCCCAAAGTGCTGGGATTACAGGCATGAGCCACTGTGCCCGGACAAAAGTGTCCTCTTATAAGGACATTTGTCTTTAGATGTACAGCCTACCTAAAATACTCCAGGAGAATCTCATCTCAAGATCCTTAACTTAATTACATCTGCAAAGACCCTTTTTCCAAATAATGCCACCTCCACAGATTCTAGGCACAAGGATCTGGATATATCTTGTGCAAAGCCACCATTCAGCTCACTACACTAGAAAGAAGAAAAACAACGAAGTAACAAAAGGCGCAGAAGAAAGAACAGATGCAGCTTGTGTGGCAGTGGCCATCAAGGCAGGCTGGGGTAAAACTGTGTCAGCAGAACCCCAAAAGTCCAACAATGATAGACTGGATTAAGAAAATGTGGCACATATACGCCATGGAATACTATGCAGCCATAAAAAATGATGAGTTCATGTCCTTTGTAGGGACATGGATGAAATTGGAAATCATCATTCTCAGTAAACTATCGCAAGAACAAAAAACCAAACACCATATATTCTCACTCATAGGTGGAAATTGAACAATGAGATCACATGGACACATGAAGGGGAATACCACACTCTGGGGACTGTGGTGGGGTGGGGGGAGGGGGGAGGGATAGCATTGGGAGATATACCTAAGGCTAGATGACGAGTTAGTGGGTGCAGCACACCAGCATGGCACATGTATACATATGTAACTAACCTGCACAAAGTGCACATGTACCCTAAAACTTAAAGTATTAAAAAAAAAAAAAAAAAAGAAGGGGTGGGAAGAGAGATAGCCCATTCTCTGTTGGCCTAATTCCTAAGGAATCGTGCCTCTGCCTTCGGGCCATTCTCAAGTCTTGTTCAAGGATAAAATGATTTATTCATGGCCATAATTAAAAATCAATGCCAACAGAAGCAGCGTCAGCATTTTTCATTTGTACTTACACATGAGTGAGAGCAGTTTAGGGAAACGGGTGCCTTCAGGTTCTGTTTTCTCCATCTAGAAAAGGGCTGCCTTCATGGAATGCTGGTGCTGGGGAGAAGCCTCACGTCTATAGCAGGACTTGATTGTTTTAAATTCCGATTGGTACACGGAGCTACTCGTCCTCATTTCAAGCACTTCTGGTTTGTTCTGGGTTCAGTGGGTGAGCAATGAGTAGAACTCTGGGGAGGAGGATTTGGGGCGAGCGTGGTTTTGATACCCAGAGAGAGCTGTTTTTCCATCACTGTCTTGACTGTGATTCAGAATGGGCTTCTCCGCTCAAGATGGGAGTACTGGGCTGATTTAAGGTGGGTGATTGACTTGTTTTGGTGGCTATTTTTATACTAGCTGGTTAACGAGCTATTTTCTTCATTAGTTTCAGGCATGTGAGCTTAATGAAGCACTGGACCTCCCAAATTACAAGGAAAATAAAGATATAGCTTATATGGTAGTTTCGAAGGAGTTAGTGAACAAACACAGTAGGGCCACAAATTATTGTTGAAGACATGAATGCATGAAAGTGTATCTATGTCCAAATGGACTCTCTGCAACCATACTGTTCCACCTGAAAATTAGTAGATCGAAATTCAGCAAATGCTTGGACAGGGGATACTCTCAGAAGTATTCCGACTAAATAGCTTGGTTTCTTTTCATATCACTAAAGTAATTTCTTCCCAAATTGATTCTGGACTAAATCTTATGATACCTACTTGTTCTGATTGTACTTAGCCACCTGCAAATAAGGTGGGGGCAGTGGTAAGAGGAGCTGTTGAATGAAATTAAACATTTGTTGAATGCTTACTGAGGATAAAGCCCTGTGCTTTGTGCCAGGAAGATTCCAGAATAAATGAGGCACAGACCTACTCTCAGGAAGCTTTTGCAAACTAATGGAGAAAACACATCTGCAGGCAATGACTTATGGTATAAGAGGAAATGGGGCCAGGTAGGGTGACTCACACCTGTAATCTCAGCACTTTAGGAGGCCAAGGTAGGTGGATCACTTGAGGTCAGGAGTTCAAGACCAGCCTGGCCAACATGGCGAAACCCTGTCTCTATTAAAAATCCAAAAAAAAAAAAAAAAAAAAAAAAAGAGAGAGAGGCTTGATGGTGTGCACCCGCAATCCCAGCTACTTGGGAGGCTGAGGCACAAGAATCACTTAAACCTGGGAGGTGGAGATTGTAGTGAGCCGAGATCCCACCACTGCACTCCAGCCTAGGAGACAGAGTGAGACTCTGTCAAAAAAAAAAAAAAAAAAAAAGGAAATAAGATTGATGTTGAATGGGAAATCTAAGCAGGATGGAATGTCAGGAGAGCGCCCACTTGCCCAGCTCCAATAACACTTTTGACAGCCATGACAATATTGCAGGGACGCCCATTCCTCATGGTATCTGAAGCCCCATGAAGGCTTGCATCTGGAGGCTGGTTCAGTCTTGACTTTAAGATCAGGGGATACAAGGAATGATTTTCATCTATCCCAAGCCAATAGTCCAGCCAAAAATCTAAGTCTGAGATGATGAGAAAAAGCAAGTCATCAACCATGTCAGCCATTTCATCATCATCATCATCATCATCATCATCATCATCATCAAAAACAAAAGACAGACCTGTACCCATCTAGTGTGCCTGGCTCTTGTCTTAGTTCAAAATATAGAAGTAAATTCTATGGCCAGTGAACAATGACCAAAATAGCTCTCATCACTTTTGTCTGCCACCATGTAAGATGTGCCTTTTGCCTTCCACCATGATTTGGAGGCTTCTTCAGCCACATGGAACTGTGAGCCCATTAAATCTCTTTTTCTTTAAAATTACCCAGTCTTGAGTAATAAAATAGTGGTTTGTCCACGACATCAATGAATGATGCTGTCACTTGTTCCAAACGCATATCATTTAAGAGGTTTGGATAAACAACAACCTAAAATAAATAAGCACTAAGCAAACTCAGGGCTACATAATCCCTGTGGTGAGGTAACTGACAATGGGTACAACTGGGACAGTTTATTGTTAAATCACATCTATCTGCATGTGCCCAAGCAGTGAGATACTTCGTTTTAATCCTAAAAAATCATGGTGCACATTTACTCCTGCCTTCCAACCGGGCTCCAACGTCACCTCCTCAGAGAAGCCCTCTTTTCTGTGCTTCCACTCTGCTTTTTTTCAACATTTAGTAGAGCATCATTCACCATCCATATCTGGGAACAATGATTGTAAGAAACAAATCCATTTGCATGAGCTGGAGGGAAAGGAGCATACCTTATCTCTAACAGGCAAACTCATGAGCACGAGAAATAAATGAGAGGCCATGAGAGAATGGAAACAGCAGTTACAGAAACCAAAATGCCTCTTTCTGGCTCTCAGAAGCCCATGGTCTCCTTTTTTTTTGTTTTTGTTTTTGAGACGCAGTCTTGCTCTGTCGCCCAGGCTGGAGTGCAGTAGTGCGATCTCAGCTCACTGCAAGCTCCACCTCCCGGGGTTCATGCCATTCTCCCGCCTCAGCCTCCCAACTAGCTGGGACTACAGACACCCGCCACCACACCTGGCTAATTTTTTGTATTTTTAGTAGAGATGGCGTTTCACCGTGTGAGCCAGGATGGTCTCGATCTCCTGACCTCATGATCCGCCCATCTTGGCCTCCCAAAGTGCTGGGATTACAAGCTTGAGCCACAGCACCCGGCAGCCCATGGTCTTTCTTTTCAGCCCTGTGGCCTTTCTTATCTCCGCTTCTCTCACTCACAACCAATTTTCCCTTTTTGCTGGTGGCCCATCATGGCAGCCAGCAGAACCCACCACCAGCTGATCAGTCAGTTACTGGATATCTTGGAGAGGGAGGGAGGGAGAGGGAGAGAGGGAGAGGGAGAGAGAGAGAGAGAGAGAATGACAATTGGGCTTCTGGCCAACCAATTGAGTATAGGGAGGGGAAGTACCATGGTACAAATATGGCGCCAAGACCTGCTTTCTAGCATGGCCAATGAGTAGGGAAATTGAGGGAAGGTACCTGCAAACACAGCAGACATCTCAGAACATGCTCTCTGTTCTTAGTTCTCTCTCCTGCCTTCTCCTAGATTGTAAATATCACAAGACAATCTAGAATAGTACCTGGCTGAAAATATTTGAGAAAGAGAAAAAGGAAGAGATTGGATCAAACTCTGGACTTCATGGTTTCTTAAATTCACTCTGCAAGTTTTTGGGTTTTTTGTTTTTTGAGACAGAGTCTCACTCTGCTGCCCAGGCTGGAGTGTAATGGCATAATCTTGGCTCACTGCAACCTCCACCTCCCAGGTTCAAGCAAATCCCCTGCCTCAGCCTCCTGAGTAGCTGGGATTACAGGCACGCACTGCTACACCAGTTAATTTTTGTATTTTTAGTAGAGATGGGGTTTCATCATGTTGGCCAGGCTGGTCTCGAAATCTTGACCTCGTGATCCACCCACCTCAGCCTCCCAAAGTGCTGGGATTACATGTGTGAGCCACCATGCCTGGCTGACTCTGCAAGTATTTAAGTGAATGAATGTCAGTCCCTGAGAATCAGAAGAAAGGCATTAAATCTCCGTTACGTTTAATCCTGGTCAGCAGCTGTGGGGTGTCCTGGGTTTGGGATCAGTGGGATGAGGAACAAGCAGGTTCTCCAAACCACCACTCAGGGAGGGGAGGTGTTAACTAGGCCAAAGATGATGGGCAGGGTACGTGCCTGGGTTTCAAACAGCTTATGCCAGGCCGAAAAACCGACGCTGAAGCAGAAACTGTATTAAGCAGATTGATGACACAATGGAGGGGGTCAAAAAGTTTAATATTGCTAAGAAGAATACAAATATTGATTATGCAATATGATATTGTTTCACACCATCTCCTGCTACATGCCAGGTTTCCTTTACCATGAGATAGAGGAGACTTGTGGATCTGACCTAATCCTCCAAATTGTAAGGTCCCTGAGAGTGGGCTCATGACATTCATGTTTTATAAATGTGGCATAAAGGCTCATGCTGGCTGCCATGTGGCCCAATCCCAGTTCGATGCCGCATTCAAAGAGCCATCATTCCAGCATGCAAGCATACTTAAAGGCAATTGAAATGTTTACCGCCGTCCCTCAAGACAAACACCAAAGAAAAACTATTTTCAAAATGCATAGCAACACTTCTTAAAATCTTATTTTCCCATCTCTTTCTCTCTCTCTACCACATTCCCAGGAGTTTCCTAGGAGCAAAACTGTCATAAAGACCCAGGAGCAAAATGATTAATGACTTCACTATATCTGATTCTGATTTAGTTGGTTTAGAGTGGTGTCCTCGCATAAGTATTTTTTAATATCTTGCTGGGCACAGTGGCACACACCTGTAGTCTCAGCTACTCGGGAGACTGAGGCAGAAGAATCATTTGAACCCAGGAGTTTGAGTCCAGCCTGGGCAACACAACAAGACCCTGTCTCTGAAAAAAAAAAAAAAAAAAAAGCAAAAACAAATCTCTCTCAGCTGCAGTCAGGGTTGATAACTAGTTGATCAAATAATTGTGGTAGACAACCTTTGCAATAGACCTTAATATTCCCACCTCCTGGTGTTATTCATTGTGGAATCTGTCTTAGCTAGTCCTCAATTGGGTCTGGTATCCAGGCCCCACCTTGAGAGGCTAGTCCCACCTCCTACCCCACACATGGTTTTATCCTTACTTTCAAGACTGGCCTAAAAATGTAAAATGTACTTGTTTTGACCTTGTTTCCAATGAAATAACTATTCTAAACACTCATTTAGGATGGTTGGGGAAATTTGAAGACTGGCTAAATATTGAAGATATTTGCTTCAAAATAACCCAGCTTGGTAATGAGATGATGGCGGCTGAGGCTGGTGATAGGCACAGAGAGCTTCATTATCAAATAGAAACAAGTTGGAAAAAACAGAATCTTTTCCATAATAAAAATGTAAGGTAAACACAAAAATGTATTGAGTGCATAAAAAGAATCTATGGTCTCACAGACATTAGCTTAGAATTTGAACATCAAAAATAAAAGTGATGGCCAGGTGCAGTGGCTGATTCCTGTAATCCCAGCACTTTGGGAGACCGAGGTGTGTGGATCACTTGAGCCCAGGAATTTGAGACCAGCCTGAGCAACATAGTGAGACCCCCATCTCTAAAATAAATAAATATAAATAAAAGTCACTAGAATTGATTATAGAACATCAACTCTATTTGAGTGTATAAAGATTACTGGTGGAGGGGGGCAATGGGGAGAAGGAGAAAGAGAATATATTTGTGACCTAGATTATTTTCCTTAGTTTTGAGGTAATCTTTGGGTCTCCTGGGTCTTCTAGCCCAGTATTTATTTTTATTTATTTTATTTTTTACTTTTTTAGATGGAGTCTCACTCTGTCACCAGACTGGAGTGCAGTGGTGCGATCTCGGGCCACTGCAACTTCCGCCTCCCAGGTTCAATCGATTCTCCTGTCTCAGCTCCCCATGTAGCTGGGACTACAGGTATCTGCCACTGCACCTGGCTAATTTTTGTATCTTTTGTAGAGATGGTGTTTCACCATGTTGGTCCAGGCTGGTCTCGAACTCCTGACCTCAAGTGATCCACCCACCTTGGCCTCCCAAAATACAAGGATTACAGGCATTAGCCACCACACCCTGCCTATTTTCCTTAGTTTTCAAAGAACCTTTGTGTCCCCTGGGTGTTCTAGCCCAGTATATCTCAAACTTTGCTGCACTGAGGACCTTGTTGAAATGCATGTTCTCAGCTGGGAGGCTCAGTGGGCCAGCAAATCTGCATTGGTTTAGGAAGCTCACCCTGAGTAGCAAGCTTCAGTGAGGACCAGGCAGACCCCTGCCTGCCAACCCCCTCTCAGCTGGGCTTAACTCTGGCTCTCTCCTGACAGGGTTCCTCCCCTCAAAATAGGAGCTATTTTCAAAAAGTCTCTTGGAAAAAAGGCCCTGTTTTAAAATTGGGGTGTTTACCACAGTGTTTTAAGACCTTTGCCCAGACCCCCGCAACCAACTTAGAATGGACATTTTTACTTTTGAAGGTCCCACTCCACACCATATTAAATTCATTAAAATCAACCTCCATTACAGGCATATCTCAGGCATCATGCCCTCAGAACGGAGTGGCAGCTAACCACTTGACAATGTTGCAAAGCATTAAACATGCATTCATTTCAGGCTTGCAGTTTTCACATTTAGGAGCCAATTGTCTTAGGTCTAAAGCATTCACGTTCAAGCACTGTTATGGGCCCCAGACACTATGCTTCCCAGCCTTAATGGCCTCTGCTATGCTGGTTCCTACCGCCCCACCCCTGGGTTCTGGCCGGCTAGCCCACACCACCTCACTGCTCCCCCATTCAAGTGTGCCTTAGATGTGTGCTTTCCAAACTCATCTACACTTTAGGATCACCTGGGATTTTCTAAGTGTTCTAAAACCCAGGCCACACCCCACCCCAGAATAACTAAACCTCAACCTCTGGAATGGGACATAGCATCTGTTTTTTGTTTTTTGTTCTGTTTGGTTTTTGAGACAGAGCCTCACTCTGTTACCCAGGCTGGAGTGCAGGGGCACAATCATAGCTCGCTACAGCCTCCAACTCCTGGGCTCAAGCAACCCTCCCACTTCAACCTCCAGGGTAGCTGGGATCACAGGCGGGCACCACTATGCCTGGCTAATTTTTTAATTTTTTATAGCGACAGTATCTCCCTATGTTCTCCAGGCTGGTCTCAAACTCCTGGGCTCAAGTGATCCTCCCGCCTCAGCATCCCAAATTGCTGGGATCACAGGCCTGAGCTACCATGCCTGGCCATCAGCATCTGTATTTTTTGAAGCACAGACGAGTTTGGGAACTACTGCCCTAGACTGAGCTCGGTTTCCTAGCCCTGTCTGACGGTAGGATTCTGCTGGGCTGCTTCTGAAAACAGAGCTCCCCAGGCTCCTTCCCAGGTAATTCTGATTCATTAGGTCCTTGGTGGGCTCTGGAATGTGTATTTTTTACCAGGTCCCTCTGGGCGAATCAGGCTAAAGCCATTTTGGGATCTGAGACCTTGGCGCTCATTCCCCAGCTTCCCTCCTAACCCAGTTCCCAGCTTGGCCCACCTCACCCAGGCTATGTCACGTCTGACTTCGCAGATTACACCTGAGAGGGAAGGCCCAGCCATCACGATGTGAGAACATTTTACAATGACGAGGAAATGCCAAACACATTTTAAAACTCATTCAGGATTAGCGTTCACCTTAAACTTGAGACTCGGAGAACGGGCTGGCAACGTGCTGTGCACAACCCTTAGTGCTCTTCTGCGACTAATATTTGGATAATTGATTGTTGGAAGCTCAGGAAGTCTCTCTCTCTCTCCAAGGATTGAAGTTAACTTCCTTATTTCTGAAGTAGGGAAGAAAATGAGGATGCCCTGCCTTTCGCTAGACTGAATACTGTCCTCCAAAAATTCACATTCACCAGGAATCCCAGAATGTGACTTTATTAGAAAATAGGGGTGGGGCATGGTGGCTCATGCCTGTAATCTTAGCACTTTGGGAGGCTGAGGCAGAAGGATCACTTGAGGTCAGGAGTTCGAGACCAGCCTGGCTAGCATGGCAAAACTCTGTCTCTACTAAAAGCATAAAAATTAGCTAGACATGGTGGCATGCACCTGTAACCCTAGCTACTTTGGAGGCTGAGGCTGAAGAATCACTTGAACCCAGGAGGCAGAGTTGCAGCAAGCTGAGATTGTGCCACTGAACTCCAGCCTGGGCAACAGAGCAAGACTCCATCTCAAAAAAAGAAAAGAAAATAGGGTCACTGCAGATATAATTACAAAGAAGTCATATTGGAATAGCGTGGACCTTAAATGGAGTAATAATGACATCCTCACGGGAAGAGAAGAAGAGACAGAGACACACAGGGGAGAAGGCCACATGAGAATGAAGGAAGAGAATGGAATGATGTGGCCACAAGCCAAGGATTGCCAGCAGCCACCAGAAGCCACAAGAGGCAAGGAAGGATTCATCCCTAGAGCCTTCAGAGGGAGCATGACCCTGCCGGGTTTCAGACATCAAGCTTCCAGAACTGGAGAGAATGACTTTCTGGTGTCCTGAGCCACCCATTTGGGGAACTTTGTTAGAACAGCCACAGCCAGCTCATGTGCTCCTGAATGCATTTCAGGCATTAATAAGCACTGTCTTGGCCGGGCAGGGTGGCTCACCCCTGTAATCCCAGCACCTTGGGAGGCTGAGGTGGGTAGATCACCTGAGGTCAAGAGCTCGAGATCAGCCTGACCAACATGGAGAGACCCCATCTCTACTAAAAATACAAAAATTAGCTGGGCGTGGTGTTGTGCACCTGTAATCCCAGCTACTTGGGAGGCTGAGGCAAGAGAATCTCTTGAACCCTGGAGGCAGAGGTTTCAGTGAGCTGAGATTGCGCCATTGCACTCCAGCCTGGGCAACAAGAGCGAAACTCCATCTCAAAAAAAAATAATAAGTACTGTCTTGACTGTGGTCATCAAAAATATTTGATTAAGGATTAGCTAGAAAGCCTGACCCTTTCACAGATGGACAGAGGGGCCAAAAGAAAATAGATTGTTTGCACTGGGGCAAGAAGGATAAGAATCCTATGGAAAAAAAAAAAAAGAGGGATTGGTTTAGTGAGTGCTGGGGAGAGGCATTTGTTTTCTTGCTTAAAAAAGAAACACAGGTTGGGTGCGGTGGCTCAAGCCTTAATCCCAGCACTCTGGGAGGCCAAGGTGGGTGGATCACCTAAGGTCAGGAGTTCGAGACCAGCCTGGCCAACACTGTGAAACCCCATCTCTACTAAAAAGCCAAAAAAAAAAAAAAAAAGAAAGAAAGAAAGAAAGAAAGCAATTAGCCAGGCATGGTTGTGGGTGCCTGTAATCCCAGCTACTTGGGAGGCTGAGGCAGAGAATCACTTGAACCTGGGAGGCGGAGGTTGCAGTGAGCCAAGATGGCTTCATTGCACTCCAGCCTAGACAACAAGAGTGAAACTCTGTCTCAAACAAAAAAAAAAGAAAGTAAAAAACATAGTTTTAAGTCCACTCAGTGGAGTTTAAAAATACATTCCCATTGTGCAGTGCTTTTGGAATCTTTTCTAAACTTCTGTTGCACATGATCTAATTTGATCTTCATAGCAACTCCCTGAGGTGGATAGGGCAGGCCTTTCTGAACACCTATTTTCTAGTTTGCATTAAAAGAACGGAATTGGCTGGGACCAGTGGCTCATGCCTATAATCCCAGCACTTTGTGATACAGAAGGGAAGTGATCGGAAGGGAAGAATGTGGTCCCTTTAAATGATATGGAAGTGAAGAAGGGAAGTACTGGGTAGAGGAGGGTGTTGTCGCTGGCTAGTGCTCCACCCAGGGCCTGTGCCCACGGACCTAGGTGAGGATGGGGATTTTTGTTTTCCTGCCCAAATGTTGCATTTCCCAAGACCACCCTGGCTGCCACACCCCCATTCTGTGCCTATAAAAACCCTGAGACCCTAGCAGGCAGACACACAGGCGGCTGGACTTCGAGAGGAGCACATCAGTGGAGGAACACATGGGTGCTGCACGTCAAGAGGAACACACCAATAGGCACCGGCACACTGCAGGCCACTGACTGGCACAACAAGCAGAGTTTGGCTGGGACAGTCAGAGAAGAGTCGGGCCACTCACCTGACTCCAGGGGAAAACCATCTTCCTTCTGGCTCCCCCATCTGCTGAGAGCTACTTCCACTCAATAAAACCTTGCACTCTCACTCCTGTAATCCCAGCACTTTGGGAGGCCAAGGCGGGCAGATCACGAGGTCAGGAGATCGAGACCATCCTGGCTAACAAAGTGAAACCCCATCTCTACTAAAAATACAAAAAAATTAGCCAGGCGTGGTGGCGGGCGCCTGTAGTCCCAGCCACTTGGGAGGCTGAGGCAGGAGAATGGCGTGAACCCAGGAGGCGGAGCTTGCAGTGAGCTGAGATCACACCGCTTCCGGTACACCAAGGCAAGAACCCCAGGACAAAGAGAGCCCTCTGTCTTTGCAATAAGGTGGGGGTCTAATTGAGCCGACTAACACAAGCTACCTACGGACGGCTAAACTAAAAGAGCACCCTGTAACACACGCCCACTGGGGCTTCAACTACAAACATTCACCCCTAGACCCTGCCATGGGGCTCCCTGCCTGTCTGTATGCTCCCCTAGAGGTTTGAGCAGTGGGGCACTGATGAAGCGAACCACACCCCCATCACATGCCCTTCGAGGGGGACAAGGGAACTTTTCCCATTTTATCTGAGGCCAAGGCAGGAGGATCGCTTGAGCCCACGAGTTTGAGACCAGCCTGCGCAACATAGCAAGACCCCATCTCTACAAAAAGAAATAAATAACCAAAAAAAAACCATTAAAAATTAGCCAGGTGTGGTGGCACACACCTGCAGTCCCAGCTACTCAGGACGCTGATGTGGAAGGACTGCTTGAGCCCAGGAGGTTGAGGCTGCAGTGAGCCAATATTGAACCACTGCACTCCAGCCTGGGTGACAGAGTGACAACCTGTTTCAACAAGAACAAAAAGAATGGAAAAAAATAACTTCTCAAATAGCTAGCAGAGGCAGATCTGGTACTCAAATGCAGGGTTTCCAGGTTTCAATTCTACTTTCTAGCAGTATTATGGAGAAACATGATCACTAATACATGAAGGAGAGGAGGTTTCAAGTTCTGGTGAAAAGACGGTAAAGAGAGGAGTTAGTTGACTAGGAGTGACTAGGAATGGGAAGAAAACGCATGACACTATTTACAGGAAAGAAGAAAAATAAGCATAGAGGTGACTGAGCGGACAGAAAGGACTTGGAAGAAGCGTGTTTGGCCCTGTCTCTGCATTTCTTCCCTTGCATTAGTAACTTCCCTGATGACTTGGATGAATCTTCTCTTCCAGGGCATCCAGTGTTCCCTTTCTGTCCACTTCTCCTTTCCCAGGGCCCATACAGTCTGGGAAAGCATGCTCTGCAGGCTTCTCATATCTTTCCTTCCTTAATCAGCCCCTAGCATCTCTATGTAACCCATACACACCTGGAGTTCCACATGCCTCAGTCTTTGCACTGCAGTGAATTCAAAGAAAGGTAGACTCTAGCTGGGCGCAGGGACTCACACCTGTAATCCCAGCACTTTGGGAGGCCGAGGCAGGCGGATCACTTGAGCCCAGGAGTTCAAGACCAGGCCTGGCCAACATGGTGAAACCCCATCTCTACTAAAAACACAAAAATTAGCTTGGCTTGGTGGTGCATGCCCAGCAGTCTCAGCTACTGGGGAGACTGAGGCAGAAGAATTGCTGGAACCCAGAAGGCAGAGGTTGCAGTGAGCTGAGATCACGCCACCGCACTCCAGCAGCCTAGGCAACAGAGCAAGGCCCAGTCTCAAAAAAACACAAAGACGAAACTAAACCAAACCAAACCAAACCAAACAAAACAAAACAAAACAAAACAAACCACACACACACACAAAAACAAAGGTAGACTGCAATAGGAAAAATTCAGTCAAAAGCAATTCAAATAATTACTCAGTCAACCCAGTTCTAGCTCAGTTCTTTATTATATATATAAACTTATTCTGTCTAGATTCCCTAGTTTTCTTTTTCTTAACTTTTTGGGTTTTTTTTTTTGAGACAGGGCCTCACTCTGCCACCCAGGCTGGAGTATAGTGGCACGATCATGGCTCACTGCAGCCTCAGCCTCCTGGGATGAAGTAGTTCTCCCACCTCAGCCTCCCAAGTAGCTGGGACTACAGGTGCATGCCACCACGCTCAGCAACTTTTTTGTATTTTTTGTAGAAACGGGGTCTCACTATGTTGCCCAGGCTGGTCTTGAACTCCTGAACTCAAGAAGTCCACCTGCCTCAGCTTCCCAAAGTGCCAAGATTACAAGCACGAGCCACTGCACCTGGCTGATTCCTTAGTTTTCTTTTTCTCTTTGCCCATTGCCTGGATTCCATAAGCAGAAGGAAAACCCGGGGGGTCACTTTGTAGGCAAGACTCTCCTCTTCAAAACGTAAATTGGTTCAACTGGTACCAAAACTGAAACGTATTTATAACTTAACATCTTTTCTTCCTACCCCTTCAATCTCTTGAGCAATGAGAAAAGGCACTGGGCTCTTTCCTTGGTGACACATAGTCTGTGCCCTCAAAGAACACTGACACCCCGGCAACATCCATTCGAAGAGCTTATCTGTACCTCCCCTCCTTTATCCCCAAGATCACTGGGCCAGAGCTCACGGAGTCATTCACAACATGATGTTTAACACCGAGAGGCTCTGGAAGTGCTCCTTCAAGACTCAGAAGAAGACCCATTGCTGAGACAATCGTGTTCTCTCTCTCTCTCTGTATAACCACCCAGAGACAAGGACTTCCGGAGACCCTGGCTTCCCTGGCTGCTGCCTCTCATTCCTGCACCTGTGGGATGAGAGTTCGAAGCTGTGCGACCTTGACCAAGTTACTTACCCTCTCTAAGCATATGTTTCCCTAAATGTGAAATAGGGATGATGGTGATGTGTTTATCTCACAGATTTGATAGAAGGATTAAATGAGAGATGCATCAAAAGCAGTGGGCACAGGGTCAATGCTCAGTGAGCTTTCTCTTATCAATAGACAGGTCTCCATGAGGACAGAAACTGGCTTCATCTCGACTGTAGCCTCAGGGCTGGCCACAGTGTCTGCACCCAGCAGGACTTCAGTAAATATCTGTTTATACACTAACCACAGACTTAGGCATAAAAGCCTTTTGGAAGAAAGTTGACCATTTCATGCACCTTCAGACTATGAAGATCAGTGATGACAACTTTAGCTTGAGAGGGTCTCAGTGCCCATTCATCACCACTGTGAAAAGGCAGAAACCAGAGCTGTGTGTTTAACTCCCAGCCCCAAAACCTGTCGGCTTTGCTTTATCACTATGAGCTTCCAATGGCATCCCTTTAGAATGGGGCCTCTCTCTCCTTCCCCAAGGCACCAGCCTTCACCCCAGACCTATCCTTGTCACCTGGTTCCTCCTCTCTGTACTCTGAGCCCATGCTGTGCTCGTCAGATAGCAACATGGGAGAATACAACAGCCCAGAATG